>NC_000022.11:32042897-32194412 GCF_000001405.40 Homo sapiens
GCCCCAGGTGGCCTGTTCCCTCAATGGAGCCACTCCAGCTCTGGCAAGGGCAGGTGTGGTGGCGCTGCTGGTGCCTGCTGTGGGAGTACAGTGGGCCTTTGTGCCAGGCGGGCACCACCCCCTGGCTGGCCCCTCCCCATTCGCAGGACAGCTCTTACCTGCCGGGCCGCCGCCCCAGCCAACAGCTCAGCCGGGTGCTCCTTCCTGGGCTCCACGCCCGGAGCTGCTTCCTGACGGTGCAGCCGCAAGGCATCGCAGGGGCCCCGCGCTACTGCCCTGCTCCCTCAAAGTCCCAGGTCCCCTCCCCTGGTGCTGATCATTAACCAGGAGGCCGTATAAGGAGCTAGCGGCCCTGGCGAGAGGGAAGGACGCAACGCTGCCACCATGGACAGTAGCACCTGGAGCCCCAAGACCACCGCGGTCACCCGGCCTGTTGAGACCCACGAGCTCATTCGCAATGCAGCCGATATCTCCATCATCGTTATCTACTTCGTGGTAGTGATGGCCGTCGGACTGTGGGTATGCAGCGGGTTCTGGGATGCGGGTGGGGAGGGTGCGCACAGAGGAGGAGCAATGGCCTCGCTGAGCTGCAAGGGGCAGTAGGCTTAAGTGTCGGTGGAGGGGAGAGGAAATGACTTGGAAGCACTTTAGAAGCACTCAGAGGCACAGCATGAAGGGAGGAGGGCAAGCAAGGATGAGCAGAAGTGAGAAGGGTGCCCAGGGCAGCCTGCCAGGAAGGACCAAGGAGGATACCTGAGCCTGTGAGCAGAGAAGGAAGGTGGGGGTTTGAAGAGACCGCTGGAAAGTGTAAGGGGCAGGAAAGCGGCTGCTTAGAGCTACAGGGAGGGCTCTGGGGCTTGGGAGATGAGCCTCTAGCAGGTGACTACTGTCCTACCTTTTAGTCATCCAGTTTCAGATGGGAAAGAAATGGTGTGGAGTGGGAAAGCCACAGCCTCTGCCAGCCCCAGAGATGGGGATGCTGAGGTGGCAGACAGAGGGATGCTGACCCATGCCCCACTCCTGGGAGAGGCTAACCCAGAGGCCTTGTGCATGAGGATCCCAGGGGCTGGATCAAGTTAGAGATGAGAAAGATGGGTGGAAAAGGAGGAGGAGGAAGACCTGGGGGTGACCTGGCACTGGGGAGAGGGAAATGTGTGTGTCTCCTTTTGGGACTCTGGGGACACAGCAAACCAGAGAAACTTGTTCTCAGCCACCTGGAACATGGGCATTTCACTTATGACAGACTGTGGCAGGCCCAACAACTAGAGGAGGAGATGTTTTAAAAGTGTGCAGGACCGACTGTGGTGGTTCACTCCTGTAATCCTAGCACTTTGAGAGGCCAAGGTGGGAGGATTGCTTGAGTCCAGGAGTTCGAGATCAGCCTGGGCAACATAGTGAGACTCTGTCTCTACAAAAATAAAAAAAATTACAAAAAATATATAAAATGTTTGCAGATGTTCCAGCCATTCTCGTGATTGTTATGGAGGTGGAGGTGATAAGCCCAGGGAGGCTGCTGTAGCAGCTGGTGATTGTGTTGAACTCTTTTGACTTAGAGGAGAGGAAGGTAGGCATGAACACTTCTGTGGACACAGAGCTTTTTCAGGGACAAAAGGAAGTGTTTTTTTTTTTTTTTCCAAAGGAATTGTAGAAACTAGATGTGGCAGAATGCCTCCCAAGTGTCACATGGGGTCAGTATGGCTGACTTTTCCTCAATACTCTCAGCTTCCCAGACATAGTGGAAACTGACCAACTAGGAGCCAGGATACTCAAGTTCACTACTGGCTTTCACATGGTTCAAATCATGGAACATTGGGTAACTTCCCTCAGCCTCCAGTTTACTCAACTTTAACATAGGTACACTCTTATCTATTCTAATGACTCCCCCATGGTTGTGGTGAGGATACGCAGAGGTGAATCTGAAAGCTGTTTATGGACTCTAGGATTAAAAAAAACTACTATTGTCATTTACCTTCCATGGTATGATCTGGGCTCTGAACAATGTTTATCCTTTTAAGTAAAATGGGCAGCAGTGGTCAGGTGGGTAGTATATTTTTACAAAAGCCACAAGACAGGGAAGGCCAGAATGCTAATCCCCGTTTTACAGAAGAGGAAATTGAAGCCTCATGTGGTTGTGATTTGTCTAAGGTTACAATAGATGAAATTGTTCCTGGAACTCAGATCTCTTGACTCCTGATTTTTTATGGTACCAGGCACTCTGCCACTGTGACTGACTTCCTCCTTCCACCCCACCCCAGCTTATAAGTGCTGGAGCCAAGGTGTGAGCCCGTCATCTGCTGGCTATACAGTACTGCCTGTTTCCCAGACAATCTCTGATAATATCGGTTCTCTTAACCAATCTCATTTTAGCCCTGCCAGTCTAGTAGGTGTTTATACTTTTTAAATGGTGTTTACATGTTTCAAGTATCTGTGAATCAGTATCACTTGTCCTGCTAAATGCTACTTAATAGCCTGTTTAGTATTTGTCTATGTTTAATCTTCCCCCATTAGACAATGCCTCTGGACCCTGGTCATTTAATGCATTGGATTTCTTCCAGTTTATCCTCCTCTGTCTGCTATTAAAGTGGCAAGAGTGGCTTGATTCAGGGGTGGCCACTCTGACTCCTTCATGATCTCTGGGCTGCACAGGCAGAATGGTCCAGGCCCATTGTGTTTCTTCAACTTAGAAAAGACCCACACAGTCAATGTCCCTCTGTCACCTTCTCTATCTCTTCCAACATTATTTGGTTCTGTTTTGCTCTTTTACAATTCTGCCTCCTCCAATCATATTTTAGAATTTGGCTTCTTACTTCTTCAGAGTTAATTTCCATTTTTCTTTCACCACCTATCAGTTTGTTTCTTAGGGAATTCTATATCCTTTGAAGCTGGATCTCTGACCTTATTCTTCCTGGAAGAGTTCATCAAGCTATCCTGAAATCCCCTCAAGCCAGGGGTTGTTAAACTATGGACCATGGGCCAAATCTGTCTCACAGCCTGTTTTTGTATGGTCCATAAGCCAAGAATGGTTTTTACACTTCTCAAGGGTTGTGAAAAAGAAATAACAAAACAAGATATGAAGAATTTGCAGTAGAGACCCTGTATATTCCACAAAGCCTCAGTATTTACCATCAGGCCCTTTTTCTTTAAAGAAAAAAAATTTACTGACCCCTGTCTTATGCAGTCATTTGAACCGACAGCATCACTGAATGATTGAATTGGAATGGCCCTTGAGGGAGCCCAACCTTTCTGTTTTACAGATGAGGATCGGAGAGGGTGACCAGAAGTCATTCAGATGAATCAGTCCCAGAGCTGGGACAAGAATCAAGGTCTTATGATGCCAAAGCCAATGCTCTTTCCACTATTCTACCTTTCCCACTCCCCAAGACACTTGCCTTTCTGGGAATACTCCCTCCATGGTCCTTACTATCATTGCATTGTTGTGACAGTGTCCTGGTGGTGCTGAATTCCTTTGCTCTTTTTTTTTTTTTTAAGTTGGTGCTTTTCTTTAGATCATTTGACAAAATCACCTTGACTAGTTGTCAACAGCCTTCACCTGAACACTTCCAGTAGAAACTCTCCCAAGTGGCTTTATTTCAATCTCTGGACAGCTCTGACAGAGAGGATATTCCTTTTGGCTCTGGGCTCAGACGCGATGTCCTGGAACTTCTCTCATTTTGTCTGGTTGTGTCCTATGTGGGCCACACCAAGCATCATGTCTGTCCCACTTTACATTTCAGAAGACAACAGGCCACACTTGAGGCTTCTCTCCTCCAGGCCCAACATCCTCAGTTTCTTAAGTTGTTCCTCATCTGGACAGAGGCCTAAAGTTCTTCCTTTCTGCTCAATGATATTTGTATTCCATGGAGATAGAACCCAAGTAAACCCCAAACCAAAACATTGTGGGTCAGTAATTGTCCTTCTTTTACCCCAGCAGCTTGGAGTTGGGAGTTCATTCTCTTGTAGTTGTAGAGTGGACAGGTGAATGTAACACTGTTGTTTACAAAGTGGTGTCTGGAACTTTAAAGTTTTCCTTTGAGCCTCTTGTGCTCACAGAACAATGATTTTCTGTGCACAAGGCATTATGCCCAAAGCATTATGTGAAATTAAAAATTTGTAATATGGTAACACAAAGTAAAAAAAAATTGTAATGGCTGTGAACAAGGCATAAGTGAAGTCATCTGGGTGTTCACAGACTTTCATTTGGAGAAGTGAGGAGGCTGTAGGGAAGGAGGAGGTTTCCATGGGGGAGTGTCAAGTAGGGTTTCATGGGGGAAATGGATTTTGAGGGGCCTTGAAGGATGAATAGGTAGGATCTGGGCTTGCATAGATGAGGAGATGAAAATTCCAGAGAAGAAAAGACTTGGTGCATACACTCCTCTCTTCACCTTTTGTCCCTCCCCATCATCTTTCCTGAATTATTTCAGCTCCCCACTCTAGTCTCTGCCCTCACATTCTTCCTCTAAGCTCTTCATTTCTGAGACCAACTGGGGATATCAATCTTCAACTTCACAGTGACCTTCAGAATGGCTTTTCCTTGGTCAGTTGCTACAGACCAGGTCCTTGGGAATTTTTTCTGTTTTGGCCCTTAGCTACCTTTTCTGATTCTTAGGTCTCTTGCTATTCCCAAAAAAACTGCTACAGAGGACTTCACAGTATCTCCTTTGGGAGGAAGAGCCCTGCCAGGAGTCCAGAAAGACCCAAGCCATGCTCTCCCGGGTACTGCCCAGCACATGGGGGTGCTCAAGAAATCTATGTTGACTGATGGGACACAATAATGGCCCTGCTTCCTAAAGGACTAAGTTCAATACATCGTTGCAGACTGAGCACCTAGCAAAATGTTATCTGTCTCAGGCATGTTTGATGAATAAATTACAAGTGTCTAAGTGCCTGAGATGTCACCATCAGGAGTTAATGCCTTTGGAATAGTGATTTGGAATAGTGATGCTTTTTAGCCTCAGTGGTCACCTATGAAAATGCAGACATCGGCCGGGCATGGTGGCTCATGCCTGTAATCCCAGCACTTTCGGAAGCCGAGGCGGGCAGATCACCTGAGATCAGGAGTTCAAGATCAGCCTGGACAACATGGCAAAACCCTGTCTCTACAAAAATTAGCCAGGCGTGGTGGTGTGTGCCTGTACTCCCATCTACTCGGGAGGCTGAGGCATGAGAATTGCTTGAACCTAGGAGGCAGAGGTTGCAGTGAGCTGAGACTGCACTACTGCACTCCAGCCTGGGCAACAGAATGAGACTCCATGTAAAAAAAAAAAAAAAAAAAAGGTGCCACCTCTGACAGGGTTAAGTCACTATCAGCTACTAACATTATTAGCAAGTGTTCACTGAGAGAAGCCAATAACACAGAAGAAGAGGGAAGATGGCCAGGGGCCAGGAACAGAGGCACTGACCCCATTTTCTGCTGGAGGACTGGCCCTGGGCTTGAGCTGGACCAGAAATAATCCGAAGGCTTAGAGGCAACATCCCAAGGGATCTGTGGGAGGAGCTGGTCATCGTATATTGAAGATTCATGTCATTTTTCTCCTCATGAACCCTCAGTGGCTCCCTACTGCCTATGCAATAAAGCCTGCACTTTTTAGCCTGGCATTTGTGAGTGGGTGTTCTGCCCCACTTCTCACCACTCTCTCCATTCAAATGCCTCAGCCAGGCTCATCAGATAACACTGTTCGCCATTCTCTCCTTCTCCACGCTGGGTGAGGTTCCACCTCTAGATCTGCTGTTTCTGGAATCTTACCACATTCCTCCCTCTTCTCTAATAAAATTCCACTCTTTCTTCAATCAAGATTTGCTGAAATACTGCTCTCTCTGTAAGCCTTTCCTGGCTCCCTGGTCTGACAAAGTCCTCCCCTTCCTCTATACTAACACAATAGTCATGATATATTGGCTGGGTGCGGTGGCTCACTCCTGTATTCCCAGCACTTTGGGAGGCCGAAGCAGGCAGATCACTTGAGGTCAGGAGTTTGCGACCAGCCTGGCCAATATGGTGAAACCAGTCTCTACTAAAAATACAAAAATTAGCTGGGCGTAGTAGCACATGCCTGTAGTCCCAGCTACTCAGGAGGCTGAGGCACGAGAATTGCTTGAACCCAGGAGGCAGAGAGAGGTTGCAGTGAGCCAAGATCGTGCCACTGCACTCCAGCCTGGGTGACTGAGTGAGACTTTGTCTAAAATAAATAAATAAATAAATATATATATATATATATATAATCATTATATATATATAATCATTATATATATATAATCTATATTATATATAATCTATATCTATATCTATATCTATATCTATATCTATATCTATATCTATATCTATATCTATATCTATATATATGATGATTCCAGCAACCTGCTACCTACACCCTCAGAGAGGAAAGACTTGAATTTGTCTGGTCTTTTATTTAATATTTAGTACAAATGCCTTGCATTCTTAGAGCATTTTTTCACTTTTCTGGTAACAAAGATATAACTCACATCCCATATGGTACTTTTTAAAAGTATGATATTTCTTTTTCTTTTTTTTTTTTTTGAGATGGGTGTTGCTATGTTGCCCAGGCTGGTCTTGAATTCCTGGGCTCAAATGATTCTCCCACCTCAGCCTCCTGAGTAGCTGGGATTATAGGCACATGCCACCATGTGGCTGTAATCCCAGCTACTCAGGAGGCTAAAATAAATATAGCATTCATTAGGAACCTCAATATGCTTGTAAGAAAGGCATAAAAAGTTCCATTCCTGCCATTTAACAGACAAGCAAGCAGATCCAGGTGGAGTGACTTGCTGGAAGTGATACTGGAAGCTAATTTCGCACTAGCCCTACAGTAAGCTGTATGTATCTTCTGAGCCTCAGTTTCCTTGTCTGTCAAATGTAGGTTCCTGCCTCCTTCATCTAAGTCTTTTGAGGCTGCAGGGGAAGAAGGAATGTGAAAGTGTTTCAGAAAGTGGAGTGGGTAGAAGAAGGTGCACGAATGGGGAGGTATGTCCTTTTGGCTGGCAAGGCCACTCTTCTAGTTTTCGATTACATTTTTGACCCTTTCCTCCTCAGGCTATGTTTTCCACCAATCGTGGGACTGTTGGAGGCTTCTTCCTGGCAGGCCGAAGTATGGTGTGGTGGCCGGTAAGTTTTCTCTGAAATGCTATTTACATAACTGCTTAACTGATACTCCCTTTAGGAACTCATTTTCTTCTTGGCTTTGGGTGGTGGTGATTCTAGGATTCAAGGATCCCAACCAGATTCTTGACAGTGAGTCTCATGCTCATCGGGTCTCCTGGGCACCCTTAATCTCTTGTAGTAAGGGAATAGCCTTTAAATAAATCACCCTTAGAGTCCTTCAATAAAATACAAAGTTGGTTCAAAGCCTATCATTGGTCCATAAATCCATAACCAGAATATTAGTTCTCAAATGCGCTGGCCCAAGGAACATATCACAGGGGTCAGAGGCTCTCCACTGCTGACATCTCACTTGCCCTTTGCCCCTCCATCTGCCTTTATCCCAGTCGCTTTGTGCCACAGGAAGAGTGGGCAGCAGAGAAGCTTCTGGAAGAAGGAACAACTTGTATTGACCTGGGTTGATATACCTGAGACAGAGAGGGTTTGGGTTGTCACCCACAAGAAAAGTAGGAGAAAATCAGAGCTCATAAAGTCTGAAAACATACTGGATAGAGGAGAGACTGGTTTTGGGCATTCCTGGGGTTTAGGGGGCTTTGAAAGGAGTGGTTATGACCTGAAACAGGTGAAGATTCAGAAACTCTGGAAACAGACTCTGTTCCTGAAAACTGAATGAGGCCCAGAGAGAAAAACAGTTTGTGTGTTGGCTTGAGGATAGAAGCAAGGGACAATCAGAGGGAAGGAGCAAGGACTCCAGGATTGAAATTACAAGAAGAGTCAGCTTACATAGGGATCTGGGCTGGGAGGTCCCCGGAAGCCTGAGTCATGCTTGAGGCAAGCCAAGGCAACTCATCTGAGTAACATGAAACCATGAAACTGTACCTTACGTAACTGTGGGCTGGTTGGTGGCCCAGGATTCCCTTTTTATGTGGCACCAGGGTTTGCCACGTTTCACTCACAGCTGTCTGTGCGGAGATGTGATGGTAGGAAAGCTGTGAAGCTCAGGGGCTGAGCTTCGAAGGGGAATTCCCCACTCTTTGGATATTGGCAGCAGAAATTACACAGAGAAGTGAGGCCCCAGGTACACAGCCCAGTGAGAGACTCTTGTTTTGGAAGAGAGTTTGATCACACCTACCAGGACTACTGGCAGAGCCAGCTCCATGGGATCAGCTCCCTTAGATTCAGAAAGAAGCATTCCAAAGGGCAGGGAGTGGGAACTGCACAAGGAGCCACAGGATTTGGCTTGTTCCAGCTTTGTGACATTGGGCAATTCATTAATCTCTGAGTCTCTGAGAGTCTCCTCTATAATGTGGAGCTGGTCAGATAAGGAATCTCAAAGGCTCTTCCAGGACTAAAATTCTAAGTTTCAGCTAGGCACAGTGACTCACACCTGTAATCCAGGCATTTTGGGAGGCAGAAGTGAGAGAATTGCTTGAGCTCAGGAGTTCAAGACCAGCCTGGGCAACATAGCAAGATCTTATCTCTACAGAAAAATTAAAAACTAGCTGGGCGTGGTGGTGTGCACCTGTAGTCCTAGCTACTTGGAAGGCTGAGGTGGGAGGATCGCTTGATCTGGGAAGGTGAAGGCTACAGTGAGCCATGATTGCATTACTGCCTTCCAGCCTGGGGGACAGAGTGAGACCCTGTTTCAAACAACAACAACAACAACAAAAACCCCAAAAAACAAAAACAACAACAACAAAAATCCCAAACCCAACAACAACAAAACAACAACAAAATAGTTGACAAACTTTTTCTGTAAAGGGCCAGATTCTAAATATTTCTAGCTTTGCTGCTATGCAATCTCTGTCACAACTATTCCACTCTGCTGTTGTAACACAAAAACATCCAAGGAAAATGGATGAATGAATGGATGTGGCTGACTTTATTTGCAAAAATAGGTGGAGGGCCAGATTTCTTGTTTTGAGGACACACACAGACAGTCTCAGAACAGAGCCTGGCACACATTAAACCCTCAGGTTTAGCTCTTGTTCTTCTTTGCAACTGAAACCTATTGAAGGACTGTCATATCACTTATCTGATTGAATCCTCAATGATCTAGTGAGGTAAGTAGAGTGAAGATGATGATTAACCCCATGGGTTGCCCACGTTTACACAAGATAATGACAGAGCTAAGACTTCCTCTGATCTTCTGGTTATTCAGGTCTCTTTCTCCTTGTCTTTTGAGATGGAAATTTATGAGGCCAATTGGTGTGGCCTAAAGATTGGTCTGAAAACCAAGAAATTATTTCATTTGGGGCCGACCAGAGACCCTGATGAAAATTTTCCCTGAAGAAAGAGGACAGGTTCTCAAACTTTTCAAGTCCTCTTGGGTAAAATATATCTGATTTTATCGTTATGTTTCTAAAACCTAATGATCAGGTCAAAGTCCAGCCACTTATGATGTCACCAGAGGGGCCAAAGGGTGTCTTAGAAAAACCTGGTAGTCCCAACACATGGGTGGGGAGCTCATGAATTGGAGAGGAAGAGAGGGAACCAGGCAACTGGACATGAGAGAGGCAGGGATGCACTCCAGGAAGAAGTGAGAAGGAAAGATAAGTACTTGACTCTTCATAAGCCTGGGGGAAACAATTCCTACCTCTTCTGGCCCAGGTCCATTTGGCCCTCTCTCCCTGCTCTACTTGCTTTTTACCTGCATGTGCTCTTACTTATCCCAGTGCCCTGTGATGAGAGCTAGGCCTACGCTTTTCTTAATTTTTTTTTTTTGGCCTCACAACACCAAGGCCTTGCACTGCAAGAAGGCACTTGACAAATATGGGCTGAATTAAAGAGAAATGAGGGAGAAGAGGGACATGTCCCCAGAACCTCATGCTGGTCCCCCTTAGTGGTGTCACCTGAGACCTGAGTCTATATTCTGGCCTCTGGTGCAGGGGCCACACAGTATAGACAGTGGTAAGAATTCAGGAGGTTAGAAGGGTGCTGGGTCTAAGTCAAAGCCTGCCTCCAGCAGTGCTCCAAATTTCTGTTTTTATGCATAGAGAAAAATTGTTGTTGTTTAGGCTCATGGGAGTAAAACTGGAAAAGGAAGCCTTAATCAGAGTTCCCAATTTCAGCCCACACTGGACTCCTTGGTAAAGTTTGGTGTGGCTATGTTTCCTCACTCTCAGGCCATTTGTTTTCTCGGTCTGAGTCGAGGTTTTGCAAAACTTGGTAGTTCCCCATTGGTATATTTTGGGTGGGAGCTTTTGGGTTATCACAGCAGTGTCTGCTTTGCTCTTTCTTCTTCCTCCTTCTTATTTTTCCTCCCTTTTCTTCTCTTCCTATTACTCATTCTCCTTTTCCTATTCCTCCACCTTCTCTTCCTCCTTTTTATTCTCCTCCTTCTCCTCATTCTTTCCCTCCTTCCCTTTCTTCCTTCTCTTTCCCCTCTCTTCTCTTTTCCTCTTTCTCTCCCCTTCATCCTTCTCTTTTTTTGGTGGAATCACTTCCCTCCCATTCTTCATAGCTTAGTCTCTCCTCTAAGTAGCTTCTCTGATTAATACACAACCACTCACCACTCCATGTATTCTTGGTGTTTCTAGGCATCAATTGATTGATGTGTAACCAAGTCCCTGCCATCTAGTTAGTACCTAAGCATCTGGCTTCTCCTTTCTCACTGGCTGCCTTCCCAGAATTTTCTAACAGATTAGTGCTTCTGTAGACAGAAAAAAAATACCATTTTTTGTAATCCGTATTTCTGGTTGGTAGAAGTCGGAAGAGGCAGAAAGGTGGTGAAACTATCAGTTAAAATGAATTCGTTGTATTATTCATATTAGAAATATATCTGGGATTAAATTAGTTAATACATGTAAATCTCTTAGGACACTATATAGTTAATGCTGTCCAAGGGATGCCTATCATGATTATCATCATTATAATTGTTTCTCAGCCGGGTGCGGTGGCTCACACCAGTAATCCCAGCACTTTGGCAGGCCGAGGCAGGCAGATCGCCTGGATTGGGAGTTCAAGACCAGCTGGCCAACATGATGAAACCCCGTCTCTACTAAAAATACCAAAATTAGCTGGGCGTGGTGGCAGGTGCCTGTAATCCCAGCTACTTGGGAGGCTGAGGTAGGAGAATTGCTTGAACCCAGGAGATGGAGGTTGCAGTGAGCTGAGATCGCACCATTGCACTCCAGCTTGGGCAACAGAGCAAGATTCCATCTAAAAAAAAATAAAATAGTAATTGTTTCTCATCTCCAGCTTCTCCTCCTTAAGCTGTGAATTGAATCATTCATCTATTTATGTAGTAGTATTCTCTCATTCCACAACTGCATGTTGATACCTACTATGTGCCAGATGCCATGTAGGTGCTGATATATCCATGTGCATGTGTGTGTTTATGTCCCTCACATTCTTACAAAATATACGTAAAATTATCAATAATAGTTAAGTGCTCAGAAGAAAGTGTATTTGAGTCAAGGGTGAGGTTCAGTGGGAGGGAGAAGGGTCTTCCTTATTCAACATAGGCTCAAAGAGGGCCTTTCTGAGGATTGAGCATTCAGGTTGAGATTTGAATGATCAGAAGGAGCCAGCCATGTGAAGATTCTGGGATGAGTAACCCAAGTGGAAGGAACAGAATGGCCAAAGGCCCTGATGTAGGAAGAAGCTTGGGATATTTGAAAAACTGAAAGGGGGCCAGTGTGGGGTACAGATGGTATATTTATTTATTTATTTATTTATTTGAGACAGGGTCTCACTCTGTTGCCCAGTCTGGAGTGCAGTGGTGCAATCTTGACTCACTGTAACCTCCACCTTCCAGGTTCAAGCAATTCTCCTGCCTCAGCCTCCCTAGTAGCTAGGATTACAGGCTTGTGCTACCAAGCCTGGCTAATTTTTTTGTATTTTTAGTAGAGACAGGGTTTCACCATGTTGGCCGGGCTGGTCTTGAACTCCTGGCCTCATGTGATCTGCCCACCTTGGCCTCCCAAAGTGCTGGGATTACAGGTGTGAGCCACTGCACCCGGCCAAGATGGTATATTTAGATCAGGTGCTTTGAGTGAGTGACCCTGAATTGCTGATGATTCCAAAGATGGGCTCATCTCGATGAGAGGATGGATTGGTCTTCAGCCTCCTTAACCTCTAAACGCCAGTGGAAGACCTCACCTGCCTTTTGTGCCAAAAACTGGTGGGAAAATGTCAGTGGTTTCCTGATTTCTTGCCCCTTTGTTTCTTTGGGCAAGGAGAGAAGTTCATGAAGGTAATGAGTGAAAGAGGACCATTGTCCATGGGAATAGGAGTTGGCCGAGTAAATAGAGACTGTGATGACTCTGGAACAAAGCCTGTGCCTAAATATTTACTAGAGTCTCAGAAATAAAATACTCTGAATATAGGAGCTCCATCTGATTTTCTGTCCCAATCCAGGAAGTGTGATCCTTGAGATGGCAATGATCCAAGATTAAATCTTTTCAAACTTCCTCTGTGGAAAGAGAGAGCTTCCTAAGAGAGACACTAATCATGATTAAAGACAAGTTCCTAGAAGGTGAAGAAGGAATATGAAAACATGACACAGATGAGCACATTCCATTCCTGAGTTTACAGTGGGATGGGTAGGAGGTTCTCACCCCACTGTGCCCCTTCAGGGACATTCAGAAGGGAATGTCCTGGGAAAAACCAGAAAGTCAGTGTGTGCTACAGCCTCTCCCTGTGCCCCTGGGACTTCAGTCACCTTTGGCTATAAGACCTTGGGCAAGTCACTTCAACCTTCTGATCCTTATTGTCATCTGTAAATGAAGATCAGAATAATACAAACCTCACAGAACTGTAGTGGGCATTAAATAAGAAAAAGCAAATGAAATACATGGTCCAACCCTTGGCCCAAAGGTGGTGCTGTAAAAATTAGCATTCTCCTCTCCCTTTCTTATTCTCCCAGGATGGGGCTCTCAAACTGTGGTACCCAGACCAGCAGCATCAGCAAGACCTGCACTCTTGTTAGAAATGCAAAATTTCTAGCCTCAAACCAGACCTACTGAATCACAAACGCTAGCAAATGGGGCCCAGTAATCTGCGTATGTTTTTTGTTGTTGTTGTTTGTTTGTTTTTTGAGACACAGTCTTGCTCTGTGGGAGTGCAGTGACGTGATCATAACTTACTATAGCCTTGATCTCCTGGGCTCAAACGATCCTCCCACCTTAGCTTCCTGAGTACCTGGGACTACAGGTGCGTGCCACCACGCCTGGCTAATTTTTGATTTTTAGTAGAGGTGAGGTCTCGCTATGTTGCGCAGCCTGGTCTCGAACTCCCGAGCTCAAGCAGTCTTCCCCCTTTGGCCTCCCAAAGTGCTGGGACGATAGGTGTGAGCTACCATGCCTGACCAGTCTGTGTTTTAAGTCCTCCAGGTGATTCTGATTAGGGTTGCCAGATTTCACAAATAAAAATACAGGATGCCCAGTTAAATCTGAATTTCAGGCAAACAATACATACCTTCCTGTCTTTTTTTTTTTTTTTTTTTAGCATAAGTATGTCCCATGCAATATTCGGGACATACTTATGCTACAAATGTATAATGAATATATTATCTGTGAATCTGCATATTCAAGATAGGCAGACTTAACTGTATATCTCGTGTTCTGATTATGTTAAAGTTTAAGGACCACTATTGGAGGATATCCCAAGGGAGGAGTCCAGCACAGCCTAGAGAAGGCATGGAGAAGACGCCCTGGGATCTCCCGATATCCCTTAAAGAGAAGGACAAAAGCAGGGAGCAGGAAGCCATCTCCAGAATTCTGGACACTCTGGGTCTTAGATGGTTTGTTAACAAAGAAAAATGTTTCCTGAAATTAGCTGACTGCATTTTCCATTTGGGCTATGATGACCTTGTTTCCTCAAGGAGAAAACGATGACTCTGTTTCTTTCAGGAAATTCAGGGTAATCTATAAAAACATGGGCTGTGTAAAAGCATCAATACTTCTTCAGAATAGCATGTCTTTGTGGAGCAAAACTTTCTTAAATTTTGTCACATCATTAAAGTCCAGTAATACCCTTTAGGGTAGGCCAAAAAAGATTATTATCCTTGGTTTACAGTGGAAGAGACTGAGGCTAAAAGCAGTAAAGTGACTGCCTCAAGGTCACATAGTTTGCTATGGCGGAACCAAGATTAGAACCAGGTTGGAAGGTTCACAGTGTGCTTTGAAGGAGGGGAGGAAAAGGATGTCCATGCCATTTAATTGTACTTTCAAGTATGATTATTGATACAGGATCCTTTTTAAAAATCCCCTGGCTGCCTCTGATTGTGAAGCCAGTTGTCCATTGCCCTAGGCAATTCTTTTCATTGTTTTTTGAGATATGATCTCACTCTGTTGCCCAAGCTGGAGTGCAGTGGTGTGATCACAGCTCATCAAAGCCTAGACCTCCTGGGCTCAAAGGATCCTCCTTCCTCAGCCTCCCGAGTATCTGGGACTATAGACAGTGCCACTGCACCCAGTTAATTTTTTATTTTTTTGGAGAGATGGGGTCTCACTATGTTGCCCAGGCAGGTCTCAAACTCCTGGATTCAAGTGATCCTCCTGCCATGGCCTCCCAAGGTGCTGGCATTACAGGCATAAGCTACCGCACCCAGCCCCCAGGACAATTCTTGATGCCTGGATTTGTGATCCTGAGTGTGCACATGCTGACTTACTGTCCTTAGGGTGTGAAAGTAAAGATAAAATTAATATGTAAACGTGAATCACTTTCTTCTTCTGGGCTACAATTTTATTTTCATTGGAAAATAACAAGGTCAGCTGTAATCATTTCCAAGGTAATTCCAGCTCTAACATCACATGAGCTGGGTTAAGATGTCAATTTTCTATTTCCAGGCACACAAAACATAACTGTAGCTAGCACTCAGTGACATTTTCACGTCTTTTTCTACATCCCCCCAAAAAACACATAACTTACATGCCTACTTTGCTTTCAGTCCTCAGGCTCTGCTAGTGAATCTGAGACAGCTCTGGAATTGTTGTTCCTTATTCTTAAAGATTTTAAAGGATTGTGTTCTGATTATAAAATTATACAAACCCCTTGTGAAAAAACTGGAAAAGTATTTTAAAAATGCACTCATTGTTTTGTCTTCCCAAGATAATCATTGTTAAATTTGGATATATATATGTATACACAGGTACACACACACACACACACCTATGCATATATTTAAACATTTTGGGGCTCATAGGGTATATAGGTTTGTATCTCCTCATGTCATAACGAATTCTTCAAAGCTATAATTTTAATGGCTGCACACTATTCCATCATATGGCTGGGTGCAGTGGCTCATGCCTATAATCCTAGCACTTTGGGAAGCCAAACTGGGAGGAAAGCTTGAGGTCAGGAGTTTGAGACCAGCCTAGTCAATATAGCGAGATCCCATCTCTACAAAAATTTTTTTAAAATTCTATCATAAATATGAACTTGAATTTATCCAATTGTTTTTCTATTGTTGGGCCCTTACGTGGTTTCCAACATTCCTCTGTTGTAAATGACATAGCAATGAACATACTGATGAAATCCTTGTATCTAAGTCTTTGTCTGCATCTCTGATAATTTGCTTAAAACCGAGTCCTAAAAATAGGGTCATATAAGTGGAAGGAGACAAACTTTTAAATGATTTTAACGTGTACCAACCGACAACTTTCCAGAAAAATGGTATCAATTTACATCTCTACCAGAAATATGTGGGAGAGCCTATTTATTTGCCAACACCAAGTATTTAACATTAAAAAAATCCTATTTGACGGACTAACCTATAAGGTCAGTTCCCCTTATGGTCTTGTTCTTATGAACACTGAGCTTGTGGGTTGCCAGACTGATATTTCACAGAGCCACTTCATAGTCTCCAGTATACCCTGCTGTTCTCATGGGCCCTGGGTAGGCCTGGCAGGCTAGGTTTATTGCCTCTTCTTCAGGAGAGAGTGGTCCTTGGCATGTCCCTGAGAAGAGTCCTGACTCCATGCCCCAGTGGGAATAAATGCAGCTCTCAGACATTTGGTTGCTATGGTTTCTGTTGTTTCCCCAAGTGGAACATTCAAAGATTTGATATCACTTACTCACTCAGCAGATCTTTACTGAGTCCTTGCCATGTGCAAAGAATGTCCTCTGTTAAGTGGAAGCAGGACTGGATTGCAGAGAGCCTGGAGTGCCTGAAATTCCTCTTCTGAATTTCATGCCACAGCTGAGAGGCAGAAGTTACAGTGAGCCGAGATCATGCCACTGCACTCCTGCCTGGGCGACAGAAAAAGACTCTGTCCCAAAAGTGGGCTCTTTGAAGGCTAGAAGGTATTTGGGGCAGCAGACTTGTGTGGAAGCAGTTATCAAAGTGGGGATGTGACACGCACCAGGAGAGGGGAACAGACAACACATGAGGTAAGAGATTGGAGGATGGAGATCGGCTCTGGATGGTGTCAGTGGAGAGGTGGGACTGGGCTTTATTCTGCAGATGAGGGAAGTGTTTTTATAGACAGAGCTTGATGAAGAGGGCATTCCAGGAAAAACGAAAATGTCATAAACAAAAGCAGGAGGCAGGAAAGCACAGAGCACATCTTGGAAATTGAGCCAGTGTGGTTTTGCCAGAGTGGAGGGGACATGGCAGGGCATGGCAGGGCTGCTGAGATTGGAGAAGGTGGGACTGACTTTATTGCAGAGAGTCTGGAGTGCCTGTAATTCCTCTTCTGAATTTCACGCCACAGCTGAGAGGTTGAAAAGTGCTCTGGTCAACAACCTTTGTTGTCTCTGGTGGTTGAGATCACCTCTGAGAACTCTCACAATCCCATCTCTTGAGGAGATAAATTGTTTGCGGAATGATTTCCCACCAAGATTTTGAGTAGCTTCAGTGGATTTCCAGTCGAAATATCTTTGCTTTCATAACTTTGCTGCGGCCTGATGGTATCATGGAAGTCTTGATTCTACCAAGCCTTCCAGTTCCGGGGCCTCCCTGGTGAGATCAGTCAAAGTTTCTTTCACTCCATGTTCTATATGTTGGCATGTGGTTGAAGTGAAAATGCCGCCCACTGGGCAGCACAGGGGCCATGGTTATACACACACACACACACACACACACACACACACACACACATATATACACACACATATATATATACACACATGTATACACACACATATATATACACACACATATATATACATACACACATATATATACACATACACACACACACACACACACACACACACACACACACACACACATATATATATATATTTTTTTAAGAGATGGAACTTTGCTCTTGTTGCCCAGGCTGGAGCCCAATAGCGCGATCTCGGCTCACTGCAACCTCTGCCTCCCAGGCTCAAGTGATTCTCCTGCCTCAGCCTCCCGAGTAGCTGGAATTACAGGCACCTACCACTACGTCTGGCTAATTTTTTTGTATTTTTAGTAGAGATGGGGTTTCACCATGTTGACCATATCTGGTCTTGAACTCCTGACCTTAGGTCATCTGTCTGGCTCATCCTCCCAAAGTGCTGGGATTACAGGTGTGAGCCACTGTGCCCAGCGGGTAACAGATCTTTAAAACTCTGGCAGTTAAGCAGGGAATTTTGGAGAGAGCCTCTTTCACTTTTTGTCCTCCAGATCTTAGCATTTTTTGGAGGGGACACGGTCTTATTCTGTCCCCCCAATTGCAGTGCAGCAGCATGATTACACTCACTGCAACCTTGAATTACTGGGCTCAAGCGATCCTCCCACCTCAGCCTTCCAAGTAGCTAGGACTACAGGTACATGCCACCATGCTTGGCTAGTTTTTAATTTTTTTGTAGAGACGGGGTCTCGCTATGTTACCCAGGCTGGTCTTGAACTCTTGGCCTCAAGTGGTCCTCTCACCTCAACCTCCCAAAGTATTGGTATTGCAGGCCTGAGACACCACACCACCAGGCCAGATTTTAGCATTCTAATTGTGTAGTTACAGACTGCATCCCTGCTTCCAAAGAGTGATGAAAACAAATTTAAGGAGGAAACAGTGGCTTTCAATACACTCTAGGGCAGGCTTCTCAAACTTTGTTGGGCATAAGAATCACCCGAAGAGCTTATTACTCTGATTTCAATAGGTCTGGGTGGGTCATTAAATAGAGTAACACCTGTCTTTGGTTCGAGAGACAGATGCAATTCCTGCCAGCTTCTGACTTCTAACATTAATTGTCAGTAGCGGCTGGCTGCGGTGGCTCATGCCTGTAATCCCAGGACTTTGGGAGGCTGAGGCGGGCAGATCACCTGAGGTCAGGAGTTCAAGACCAGCCTAGCCAATATGGTCAAACCCTGTCTCTACTAAAATTAGCTGGGCATGCTGGCATGCAGCTGTAGTCCCAGCTACTTGGGAGACTGAGTCAGGAGAATCACTTCAGCCTGGGACGGGGAGGTTGCAGTGAGCTGAGATCATGTCACTGCACTCTAGCCTGGGTGACAGAGCGAGACTCTGTCTTAAAAAAAAAAAAAGTCAGTAGGGAGAAATGATTTTGCCTGATGTTTTTGGTTTAGGTAGTTTTCCCTTTAGAGGAGGCACAAGGGGGAAACATTAAATTTGTGCCAAACCCTGGAGGGACTAAAGTAAAAAGAATTTAAGTGATAGAGCCATTGTGTCTTGTTAAGGCAAACCAAATTGGTCTTTTCAGGAATCTAAATTGCAATGGGAGGAAATCTGTTCTTGCTGAATGTTCCAAATAACAGAGAGGCAGATTCTTTAATAGTGATGGCAATTAGAGGGACTGGCCTAGGTCCTCCGTACTGCCAAGAACTCATGGCTGAGTGACAGGTTTCAAAGAGGATTTGAAGGTGGATGATGTTAAAATCTTACAGGAAGTCAAGAGGGGCAGCTTGCTTCATTTTGGATGGCTCATGTTTGGAATAGTCTATTCAGGTCTGAGGTCCACTTTGGGGACAGAGATGGGGCTCAGGGCAGCAGAGAACAACAATGGTGATGAGAATCAAGTCCATTGTCGATGAGGAACAGACACATGAGAAGAGGAACAGACACATGAGAAGTCTGGGGAAAACTGAAGCAGGGAAACCATCCCTGTCCTCAGATATTGGAAGGGCTAACTTGTGGAAGAGAGATTTTACTTGTTCTGTTGCACTATAAAGGGTGGAAGCAGGACTGATGGGTAGACTTCAGCTCAAATAAAGAATGACTTTTTAACAAGTAGAGTTGTTCTACCACAGATTCAGCTGCATTGTAAGGTAGCGAGTTCTCTGTCACTAGAGGTATGCATTAAGAACTGACCATCACTTGGGAGGTGTTGCAAAGGGGACTTAAGCTGTGGCATCCACAGACCCATTCCACTCTGAAAGATTCAATGATTGGTTAATTTTTCCGTACATCTCCCCTCCCACCAACCTTCCAGGATAGGACATCTACGTGGTAAAATGTGATTAATTCCCTAAAATCAAAAGAATAAATAGCCTTTCTGCATTTTGTGATGTGACATTATGTTATTTTCCCAATTCTCATGCTCTCAGACCTGTTGGGTTTGGTCAGACTCAGTTCATCTTGCACAACAAGCAGCAAAAGTATCCACATACTTGTAATGGCCTTTTGAGTCCCATTGGAGGGTGAGGAGGGTTGGTAAAGTAGTAAGTGAGAGGTGAGATCAAGTTGGGGAAATTTTAGATAAAGTCTGAAATCCTGAATTCACAGGAACATGGGGGAGAAATTCTAGAGAAGGACGTGATGATTGACGGCACTGGGTCACTCCCTGCATGGGAGTGGTGCCCATTCTCAAATGGGCATGAGCATGGATGAGGAGTGGACAGAGAAAATGTTTGGGAAATTGGCATGATGAACGCATTGTTGGTGAGTTCCAGCAACAGGAGTGGCAGTGTAAAAACCTGGCAGGGGAGTACAGGTCATAAAACAATGGTGTCTGTCTTAGTTGGCTCAGGCTGCCACAACAAAATACCACAGACTAGGTGGCTTAAACAACAGAAATTAATTTTCTCATAGTTCTAGAAGTCAAAAATTGAGGTGCCTTCAGGGTTGGCTTCCGGGGAGGCCTCTCTTCCTGGCTTGTAGACGGCTGCCTTTTTGCTGTGTCCTCATATATGGCCTCTTTACTGTGCATGTATATGGGGAGAGAGAGAAAGAGATTTCTGGTGTCTCTTCTTATAAGGACACCAATCCTATCAGATTGGGGCCCCACCCTTATGAGCTCATTTAACCTTATTATCTCCCTAAAAGCCCTATCTCCAAATACCATCACCTTGGGGGTTGGGGCTTTAACATAGGAATTTTGCAGAGAGGACACAATTCTGTCTATAACAGTATCCATTGTAGCTTTTGCTAAGTGTCTTTGAGGGTGAAGTAATTATCCTCTTGGGAGGAGAAAGGAGGGAAGGGACACTGATTGAGAATCAGCTGTGTCAGTCACAACTGGTTCATTATTTCATTTGACTCCTGCACCAACCCTGCCATGAGAGAAGACGGAGGCTTGCAGATGTTCTAATCACCCAGAGAGTAAGAGGTCAAGAAAACATTCAAACTTGAGTTGTAAAGCTCATGCTGTCTCTGCACTTGAGGGAACTTTACCTTGAAACCTTGCTATATTCCTAAGACAGTTTTTAGGCCTGTAGCTGTCAGGAAGACCACCTGACAGGCCCTTTTGGGTGTCCAGGAAAGTCTCTGAATAGGTCAGTGTTATGATCAGAGTTGTGCTTTAGGGAGGTTGCTTGGCCATGTGGGTGGGTGGGGAGGTGACTGATGGAAAGGAGAGAATAGAGATCCTCTAGCAGCCCGCTACTTGGTCCTGTTGAGAGATAGTGACAGGCAGCACAAGGGCTATCTAGAAAGAGCTAGGTGGCCATAATATTGTGAAGGCAGAGTCAGAGTTTTGGTAAATGATTAAGTGTAGGTCATGGGGTAAAGAGAGGGAGTCCAGAATGAGGAAGGTTGTTCCCCTAATAGAAATGAATAGAACCTGGGCTCAGGACATTCTGATACCCGAACTCTCCTGGCCTCATTCCACTCTCTTCTCAGATAGTGAGTGGGGACTTCAGGACAGCCTGACATTGCTTAAAGGACAATGTCCCTGTTTGGGAGAGATATTGGAGAGGACTTTTTGAACTTATGACTCATCTAATGCAGTTAATAATTTCTGGTAATTATGTCCTTAATAGTACAGCATTAGGCTTAATTATTTATCAAGCAAGAGGTGATAAATGAAAAGATAGTGGGTCAGGGCAGGTAGGCCACTTGCAGAATGAAACTTTTGATTAAAAGTGGACTGTTAGGCTGGGTAGGGTGGCTCACATCTGTAATCCCAGCATTTTGGGAGGCCAAGGCGGATGGATTGCTTGAGACCAGGAGTTCAAGACCAGCCTGGGTAACATGGCGAACCCCCGTCTCTACAAAAAATACAAAAACTAGTCGGCTGTGGTGGTGCGCGCCTGTAGTCCCAGCTACTTGGGAGGCTGAGGCTGGAGGATCACTTGAGCCTGGGAGGCAGAGGTTGCAGTGAGTTGAGATGGACCACTGCACTCCAGCCTGGGTGACAGGAATAAAACCCTGTCTTAGGAAAAAAAAAAAAAAGTGGACTGTTATCCCCCTCAAGCTTTGAGCAGAAGGAGGTAGATGTCTCTAAACAACCTGCCTTCCCCTAGTTTCCCCTTCTTAATGAATGGCGTCCACCCAGTTACTCAAGTCCCAAATCTAGGAGTTACCTTTGATTATTCTGTCCCACATTTCCCACATCTAACCTATCAACAGAGCCTGCCAACTTTGTTTCTAAAACATACTCCCTAATCTCTACGCTTGCCTTTGTCTCAACTGCTGTCACCCTAGTCCAAGCCACTGTCCCCTCTCACCTAAGCCAGGGATAGTCTCCCAGCTGGTTGTTCTATTTTCTTCCTTGCCCCCAACACTGCAATCTATACACAACTTAGAGCAATTTAAAAAAGCAAATTAGGTCCTGTCCCTCTCCTGCTTAAAATCCTCCAGTGTCATCCCATCTCACTTAGAATAAAACTAACTTTTTTTTTGAGTCAGGGTCTCACTCTGTCACTTCAGCTGGAGTGCAGTGGCACGATCATAGTTCATTGAAGCCTGCAGGTCCTGGGCTCAATTGATCCTCCCTCCTCAGCCTCCTAAGTAGGTAGTACTACAGGCACGCACCACCATGCCCAGCTAAGTTTTTACATTTTTTTTGTAGTGGCCGGGTCTCACTATGTTGCTCAGGCTGGTCTCCAACTCCTGGTCTGAAGCAATCCTCCTGCTTCAGCCTCCTAAAGTACTGGGATTAGAAGCATGAGCCACCACACCCAGCCTAAATGACTCTATTTTAAAATGTTAAGATCACAAATCATTATCATATATCAACCTTCTTTTTGCTTCTCAACTGTGCATACCTGTGTCAGGGGGTCTTTGCTTAGGTGGAATGCTATTCCTGTGGTCTCTGAATGATTAACTTTTTTGTCATTTAGATCTCAGCTTAAAGGTCTGAATTATAATAGTAATTCTTTAATATTAGAGAAAGTCCATAGAGTCACCTTCTCAGACTCTTCAATCTAATCACTCTGTCATACCCTCTATTCTCTTCATAGCACTTACCACTCTCGGATCATTGTTTTTGTTGTTTATTTATTTATGTTTACAGTATTTGAATATAAGCTTCTTGAGAGTAGGGATTTTGTCTGTGTTATTCACAGCTGTTATTAGTGCTTAACACGTGTAGTAGATGCTAAGTTAATATTTGTTGAGCAAATGTATTAATGCACCTGCACCAACCACTGTCTCCTCATTGTCATTCTGAGAACTTCTTCTGGCTAAGCCTTCAGAAATCTCCCTCTCCCCTGACTTAATATTTGGCACTAAGCACCAGCTGCCTTATACTGGGAATAGGGGCTGGTATAGTTAGAACAGTTTCTTGGCATAATCTCTTTTGGGAAATAAGCGTTTTGTTCCAGGTTTGGACCATCTTTGGGACATTAGATAAGTAACTACAAGCCACTCTTCATCTGCTTAGCAAGAATGGGGATAATTACACTTGTTTGGTTCTTATCAAATGCTGCTGTACCTTCTCCTCTTGGATACAGAAGGACTTTAGAACTTTCTGGAGTTCTTTTTGGCCTCAAATGCAATTGAATTGCTGACACAGTATTATGATTGGTTGTGCAAGATCCCTCTCTTGCTTTACCTGATACTTTCTTTTTTTGTCTACCATTCACAGTCTTATTCTCCTTTCCCCTTCCAGTCTTCCACTCTTGGGTATTTGATACATGTGCTTCCAATCTGTCTTCTATAATCTGTATTTAGACATGTGCGTATCCTTGAAAAATGCAGTGTTTTGTGCACGTGTCCGTGTGGTCCCTAGAACCTTTGTAAAAAGTATCAATACTGTATGATCTAGAGAATCATTATTATTATTAATATCATCTCTGTTACTTGGGAGTTCATGGAGTCACATAATTTAATAGCTAGGAATCACTTGCAAATCATCAGCTCCACGCCCCTCCTCATTTGACCAAATGACTAAGGTCCAGAGGCTTCCTTTGAAATGATTTCTCTCAAGAAAATTGTCAGTGTTTACTGAGAGCCTGTATTGGGCAAGACCCTAAGCCACCAGGCATGCTGGGGGATATGGAGATCAAGGGCTCATGCTCCTAGGCACACAGCCTTGAAGGAGATTTTTAGGGAGGCCTGGTGGCTGTGGGACTTCCCATATCTTCTTCAGGATTGGACACGGGGCCCACAAAAGACTCACAGATGATCTGGTTTTGGGATACATCCCACTGCTCCTTCTCCAATCCTCTCCTTTTCATCTTTACTGTTTTCCAAGTTTCCACATCTGCCTTCTGAACCAGCTGTCCCTGATGATTCCAGCACAGTTTTCTCCCAGCCCACCTCTGCTCTTTCTTGTCCTTCTCTTGGCTGACATGTCTCCTCTCTCTTTGACCCACTCTGAGTGTCCTGGGAGAGCACAGAGCCCTCACCTGACTTTCTTTTGCGTTTCCAGATTGGAGCCTCCCTCTTTGCTAGTAACATTGGAAGTGGCCACTTTGTGGGGCTGGCCGGGACTGGGGCAGCTTCAGGCATCGCCATTGGAGGCTTTGAATGGAATGTGAGTAACACTGCAGCCATGGTGCACTGGGGCTGGAAGGAGCCTTAGCAGTCAACCAGTTCAATCTATGCTCAGAGGAGCTGAAGATGTTAGGGAACCCTTCAGGGTCACCCCAGGGTGCAGACAGAGGAGGGGCATGACTTCAGGAGCCTCAGGGCCCTGCTCCCTTTCCACCAGAGTAGCATGAGAAAACCACTGGTATGACAGCAATAGTATTTTTTCTGTTTTCTCTTCATGTTAAAAAGCCAAGGCCCTTCTAGCCATGTTTGAGGTTTGGAAATGCTTACCACCAGATTTCCATTATTATTATTATTATTTTTTTTAAAAAAATTTTTATTATTTTATTTTTAGAGACAAGGTCTTGCTCCACTGCTCAGGCTGGAGTGCAGTGGTGCAATCATAGCCTACTGCAGCCTCAAACTCCTGGGCTCAAGCGATGTTCCCACCTCACTCTCCCAAGTAGCTGGGACTACAGGCATGTGCCACCATGCTTGGCGAATTTTTTAATTTTTTGTAGAAGCAGGGCCTCACTATATTGCCCAGGCTTGTCTTGAACTCCTGGCCTCTAATAATAATAGTAGTCGTCATAATAAATGTAATTATTAATTATTATTATTGTTATTATTAAAGCTCTCTAAATGGCATTTTACTCTGTGTAAACCAGGGAAGAGGTGAAGGAGAACCCAGTGCTCTAGCTGTGGCCCACTGCTGTGATGTTGATGAGCAGCCTCCTGGGCTCCTCTCTGCTGTTTTCTAGCTGCTATTTCCATGGGTCAGTTAGGCAGCAAAGGCCTCCTGCAGTCTCTAACGGCTCCTTAGGGGAGAACATGCTGGGTAATTTTTCTGCAGCAGCTGAGGGGCCCTTCAGGTGGCAGGGATGGGCTAAGTTTCCTCCTAATTTGAGTCCACCTTTTGTGTTCATTTCAGGCCCTGGTTTTGGTGGTTGTGCTGGGCTGGCTGTTTGTCCCCATCTATATTAAGGCTGGGGTAAGTATCTGCTCTGTTATTTCATTTCCTGCTGGCAAATGTATCTGTCAGCTTGGTCTTCCTAGAGGGCAGAGGAGACATTATGGGATAAATGGCAGAAAAATCTGTGGATTGGCTTTCACTCCCAGGTTATGAAATTCCCGACTGTCTGCAGTGGCATTATATGGATATATTCCTCCTCCTCCTCCAGGGCAAGGGTCTGGCTCCTTAGTGATGCCCAGTGACAGGTTTATTGGGCTGGGATAACACCTAGCTACTCCTACAGTGGTAGGGCATATGGGATTAAAATGAGCAAATGGCTGGAGGTCAGGGGCCATCTGGCCACCTCGCAGACTTCTCTGGCCAGCAAAAGTTATGAATCCTTGACCACACTTCTGTGGCTCTGATATTAGGATGGTGTCACTGTTCTGTCTGCTCTGGGCCCTCTGGTCACTGTGGCTGGCAGTGACCTCCCTCGCACCCCATGCAGGTGGTGACAATGCCAGAGTACCTGAGGAAGCGGTTTGGAGGCCAGCGGATCCAGGTCTACCTTTCCCTTCTGTCCCTGCTGCTCTACATTTTCACCAAGATCTCGGTGAGTCCACTGCCCCAGAGGGCTGGGCTGTCTCAGAAGCTGCCACTCTCATTCCTCATCACATGCTGCCCACCAAGAGGCGGCTCTATACATTTCTATTAACTTGGCCCCTTAAGCCTTCTTGCGCCTTGGAGTAGAGTCCTATTTCTGCATCGAGGAGCCAATGGAATTCAATGGAAATCTGTCCTCCACTGTGGTGCAGGCTGAAAACACAAACAGGTTTGTGAAGGTTCAGGGAAAGCAGTTCTTAATAGAAGATTAAAAGGGAGTTAGGGATGGAATTCCCTATGATCCAGCAATCTCACTACTGGGTATATATGTAAAAGAATTGAAATAAATATATCGAAGAGGTATCTGCACTCCCATGTTCATTGTAGCACTATTCACAATAGTGAAGATATAGAATCAATATAAGTCCCATTAACGGATGAATGGATGAAGAATACGTGGCATATATACATAATGGAATACCACTCGGCCTTAAAAAAGAAGGAAATGCTGTCATTTGTTGTGAATATGCTGTCCATGTCCATAACATGGATGAACCTGAAGAACATTGTGTTAAGTGAAATAGGCTAGGCACAGAAAGACAAATACAGCATAGTGGAATCTAAAAAAGTTAACTCAGAAGCAGAGAGTAGAATGGTGGTTACCAGGGTCTGGGGGTGAGCGGGTGGGGAGTTGGGGAGATATTGGTCAAAGGATACAAAATTTCAGTTAGATAGGAGGAGTAAGTTCAAGAGATCTATTGTACAACATGGTGACTATAGCTAATAACAATGTGTTTTGAAAATCAGAGAAAGATTTTAGCTGGGCTTAGTAGTGTGTGCCTGTAGTCCCAGCAACTCAGGAGGCTGAGATGGGAACCCCAGGTGTTTGAGGCCACCCTGGGCAAAGGTAGTGAGAACCTGCCTCTTAAAAAAAAAAAAAGATTTTTAAGTGTTTTCACCACAAAAAAGATAAGTATTTGTTTGAGGTAATGTATATGTTAATTAGCTCAACTGAGCCATCCCATAATATATAGTTTAAAGTATCATGTAGTACATGATAAATATATACAATTTTTATTTGTCAATTTAAAAAAGGGGGGAGTTAGGGATATCTAAGGGTTGGCCCCAACTTTAGAGGCAGGCATGGGCCTTTGTGCCCTGCCAGGGTAAAATCTGACTCTATGTGACATTTCTCATGCACTGAAACACAAGCAGCCAGTGCCAACTCTGGAAGGCACTGCTGAGATTCTGTCTTCTTTCATGGACAGAGAAATGAAAACCCTGCAGTTGGAACGAACTTCTCCTGAATCAGGAGTAGAATCCAGGTCTCCGATTCTCAATTCACTGTCCTTTTCCCTGCACAAGGCTCCTGCTTTTTCTTGGAATCAGCTCTGTGGGCCTTTAATTGCTAACTCTCTGGGGGATGTTTACTCTTTCTGAACCCAGCCACTGGGGCTGCCCCTCTACCATCTAGCCTGCTGTCCTTGCCAACCTGGAGCTGTAGGTCCACCTTGCAGAGCTGAGATTTCTCAAGGATTGGAGGGCGACTGGGGTACCTTTGAAAGCTGAGCAGAGCTCTTGGCTGACCTACTGGAGCAAACATTGTGTTTCTCTTCTCTTCTCCCCTCCCCTCCCCTCCCCCCTCCCCTCCCCCTCCCCTCCCCTCCCCCTCCCCTCCCCGTCCCCCCTCCCTCCCTTCTTCTTCATTCTTCTTCTTCCTTCTTCCTTCTACTTTCTTTGTCTTCCTTTTTGTGAGATAGGGTCTTGCTGTATTACCCAGACTGCCAGACTGGAGTGCATGGCATGATCATAGCTCAGTGCAGCCTCTACCTCCTGGGCTCAAGCGATCCTTCCACCTCAGCCTCTTGTGTAGCTGGGGCTACAGGTGTGTTCCACCATGCCCAGCTAATTAAAAAATTCTTTTGTAGAGACAGGGCCTCACTATGTTGCCCAGGCTGATCTCAAACTCCTGGACTCAAGCAATTCTTCTGCCTCAGCCACCTAAAGTGTTGGGATTATAGGCATGAGCCACTGCACCCGGCCTTGTGTTCCTTCTTTACTTCACTTTTTCTTCCTTGTAAGTGTTCAGGTCAATTCCTCTTGATTGTAAAACAAAACAAAGCAACAATAAAAAAACACAAAACAATCAGGAAACCACTAAACTTCTGAGATATCTTTCTGACAGCCCAAAAGATGGTAGGAAGAGAAAAGTTTGCTTGTAGATTTTAGTGTGCATTTTTTTTGTCCCCAAGGTGACTGTCAGTCTGATAAAGGTTAAAGCAATGGTATGAAAAGAAAAGAAAAGAAAAGAAAATGTAAATGATAAGGAATAAGAGAAAGAAAATAGGACTTTAGTAAGAAAACTACCTTGGAGAATAATTGAAGGAGCTGGCTCCTAGTCTGTTCCCCTGCCCACTAGCAGGTGACCTGGGGCAAATGTCATAAAAGCTTAGCTTCTTTATGAGTAAGATGGGGATAGTAATTCCTGCCTTGCCTAGATCACTGGGTGTTGGTGAGCATCCAGTGAATTTATCTGAAAACACAAAGTGTTCTTGAAATGTAAGATATAATGATAACGAGGCTGGGTGCGGTGGCTCATGCCTGTAATCCCAGCACTTTGGGAGGCTGAGGCATGAGGATTGCGTGAGACCAGGAGTTTAAGATCAGCCTGGACAACATGGCAAGACCCTATATCTACAAAAAATAAAAAATATTAGCCAGGCATGGTGGTGTGCACCTGTTGTCACAGTTACTCAGGAGGCTGAGGCGGGAGGATCACTTGATCCCAGGAATTCAAGGTTGTGAGCTATGATTGCACCACTGCACTCCAGCCTGGGTGACATAGTGAGATCCTGTCACTAAATAAATAAATAAATGAATGAAGATATAATGATAACGAACATGGTTAACTGAGAGCCTTCAGCACTCTCTGCAAGAAGCTCTCTGGGTTGCAGTAGGGCAGAGAGAGAGGTGGTGTTTTCTGAGATCACATAGGGAGTAGCTCCAGCTTTTCCCCTTAGCCAGCAGTTGCAAAGTGCTCATTGCTCTATCAAAATGGTGATCTCGTTGCCTATGATCAGTTTTTCTCTCTCTTGTTGTTCTCCCCTATCCAGCACCAAAGGCGAGATTGGTCCAATCTCAGTATCTTGCAAAAGATCTGCCCTGGGTGAGATGTGAGTTGGATTGGATCTGAATTGAGCCATCTACTCTAGCTAGGTAGGGTTCTGAAAATACAGTTGCTAGTGTTTCTATTTTCCTGATTACTTAAAGTTGAGACAACAGCAACATTAAATAACATTTGCATTTTTTTTATTACGGAAAATTTCAAACATATATAAGCAAAGATAGAATAGGATAACAAGCACTCACGGACCTAACACTGATCACTTAGCTTTAACAATTGTCAACATTTTGCCATTTTTGGTTCATCTATCCTCTTCCAATTTTTTCCCCAGCAGTATTTTATTTTATTTTATTTTTTCCAACTTTTATTTTAGGATTGGGGTAC
Source organism: Homo sapiens (assembly GCF_000001405.40). Classification (NCBI taxonomy): domain Eukaryota; kingdom Metazoa; phylum Chordata; class Mammalia; order Primates; family Hominidae; genus Homo; species Homo sapiens. Next base: position 32,072,099 of record NC_000022.11, read on the forward strand.
ATGTACAGGTTATATGGTTAAATTGCATGTCACGGGAGTTTGGTGTACAGATTATTTTGTCACCCAGGTAATAAGCATAATACCTGATAGTTTTTTGTTCCTCACCCTTCTCCCATCCTCCACCCTCAAGTACGCCCCAGTGTCTATTGTTCCCTTCCTTGTGTCCATGTGTACTCAGTGTTTAGGTCTCACTTATAAGTGAGAAAACATGCAGTATTTGGTTTTCTGTTCCTGCATTAATTCAATTAGGATAATGGCTTCCAGCTCCATCCATGGTGCTGCAAAGGATGTAATCTCATTCTTTTTTATGGCTGCATAGTATTACGGTGTATATGTGCCACATTTTCTTTATTCAGTCCACCACTGATGGGCATTTAGGTTGATTTCATATCTTTACTACTGTGAATAACGCTCAGCAGTATTTTAAATCAAATCTCAGATCCCATGTGATTTCACTGTAAATTCTTCAGAATGTACCTTTGACTTTTAAAAAATATAACCATTGTGCTATTATCATATCTAACAAAATTTACAGTAATTTCTTAATTTAGGTAGTTTAATACCTGGCCCATATCAAGATTTTCCTAATAAACTCAAAAATGTTTTCTTACAGTTAGTTTGTTTGAATCAGGATCTGAACAAAGTCTAGATCACATCACATTTGGTTCTTTCTTTAAAGGAAATATACATGTGTAGGTCTTCAGCCTACTACAGTTATTTTTCCCTTTTACATTATTACCTTCCTGTCCTGGCCTACATGAATAAACATTTTTTTATTGGGTTATGTGTCTATTTCTTGATCAGTTGTAAAAATTCTTCATATATTCTGGATGTTAGACCCTTATCAGATATATGACTTGCAAAAATTTTTTTCCCATCCTGTAGGTTGTTTTTTCACTTTCTTGATAATGTCCTCTGATGCACAAAGGTTTTAAATCTTGGTGAAGTTCAATTTGTCTATTTTATCTCTTGTTGCTTATGCTTTTGGTGTCATTTCTAAGAATCCACTGCCAAATCCAAGGTCATGAAAATGTACCCCCTTGTTTTCTCCTTAGAGTTTCATAGTTTTAGTGCTTATATTTAGGGCTTTGATCCATTGTGAGTTAATTTATGTATATGGTATGGCCATGTGCCACCATGCCCAACTTCATTCTTTCGCATGTGGATATCCAGTTCTCCCAGTACCATTTTTTGAAGAAATGATTGTTTTCCCACTGAATGGTCTTGCACGTAAGTTTTCACTGAACTTGGTGAAAACAGGCTCTTGCCGATAATGCTGTTAAGGTTTTGTCTTGGAGTTGGGGCCAACACCTAGGAATAGTGCTGCCTCCTTGTGTAGCTTCCTGACTCACACTGCTTCTGCCCTCGACCCATGCCTTTGTGCTTTCTCCACTAATGTCATGATTCAGCCTCCTTTACTTTCTCCTCCTCTGCTTCAGGGTTGGTGTTTTTTTTGTTTGTTTGTTTTGTTTTTTTAGATGTAGTTTCACTCTCGTTGCCCAGGCTGGAGTACTGTGGCGCGATCTTGGCTCACTGCAACCTCCACCTCCCGGGTTCAAGTGATTCTCCTGCCTCAGCCTCCTGAGTAGCTGGGATTACAGCCACACGCCACCATGCCTGGCTAATTTTTGTATATTTTTAGTAGAGACGGGGTTTTACCATGTTGGCCAAGCTGGTCTCGAACTCCTGACCTCAGATGATCCGCCCGCTTCGGCCTCCCAAAGTGCTGGGATTACAGGTGTGAGCCACTGCGCCCGGCCCCCGGGTTGGTTTTTAGTTATAAGATGAAAGGCCTGGGCTTTCCCATTTTATTTGATTAGAGACCAGTGTGCAAAGCCTGGACTGGAAAATGCTGGGAGGGCTAGAGAAATCGGGCTTTGGCTTCCTGAGAAAGGGCAGTGTGTCTGTCTAAGAAGAGAAAAGGGAATGTGAGCAGGAGGGTGAGGAGGTCACACTGCAATGAGCAGGAGGGTGGTACCTGTCTACTGTGCACGTAGAGAAGGGTGCTGGGCCTCCCCTTCTCCCAGGCAAGTGTCCTCCAAGTCCACAGTTCAAGCAGGTGAAAGTCTGTGGACTGCAGTTGCCATGGTAAGAGCACTCTTTGTCCTCAGAGCTGGTGCAGGGGTGGCAGGGGTGGTCATATAAATAAATTAGGTGCCCAACCTCTCTCCCTGCCTTCTCTATCACCTCACCTATTTTTCAAGTTACTGATTAAACCTTCTTGGACTTGGGAGCCCCCAGGGAGCTGAGGGACAGCCTCTTTCAGCTCAGATCTGGATGGAGCCCATCCCCGAGGAGCCCGCTTTTTCTAAATTTGGCTTTTGAATTGTATGTGTTGTGTGCTGCTCCCTCTCTGTGTGATTTTTGAGGCTCCTTACCCTCGTCACCCTCCTGCTCACGTTCCCTTTCTCTTCTTGGACAGATGCACTGCCCTCCCTCAGGAAGCTGAAGCCTGATTTCTCCAGCCTTCCCAGCATTTCCCAGTCCAGACTCTATACACTGGTCTCTAACCAAATAAGACTGAAAAGCCCAGGCTTTTATCTTATAATTAAAAACTAACCCTGAAGGAAAGGAGGAGAAAGTGAAGGAGGCTGAATCATGATATTAGTGGAGGCCATGACCAACATTATACTTACTCCATCCATTGCCCAAGACCAGGGATCCCTTGACAAATACATAAGAAGTTTGATAGCTGCCCTCTACTTAGTGCTGGTCTCGTCATTTAGTCTCCAACAGGGGTTTTACTTACACCCTCTCCAGTTCTCAGAAGAGTACAGCATGGGTAGGGATTTCTATTATTTATTTGTTTGTTTACTGAGATAGGGTATTGCTCTGTTGCCCAGGCTGGAGTGTAGTGGCATGATCATGGGTCAATGCAACCTTAAACTCGTGGGCTCAAGTGATCATCCTGCCTCAGCCTCCTGAGTAGCTGAGACTACATCCATGTGCCACCATGCCCAGCTATTTTTTACTTTTTTTTTTTTTTTTTTTTTTTTAGAGATAGGGTCTCACTATGTTACCCAGGCTGGTCTTGAACTCCTCGCCTCAAGTGATCCTCTTGCCTTGACCTCCCAAAGTGCTGGGATTACAGGTGTGAGCCACCACATCTGGCTGGGATTTTTATTTTATTTTCCATTTTATGGGAGAGAAAACTGAGTCTCAGAGAAGTTAGGTAATTTCCCCAAATTACACAGCTAGTACGTGGCAAAGCCAGAACTGGGAGCAGGGTCTCTCCAGTGCCAAAGTCTGTTCTCAGTGTTCTGCCCTGTGCTTGGGTGGGATGAAGGCATAGAATGAGGGGATGGGATAGATCATGTGGTCTTATGTTCTGCGCTTTCATTTTACAGATGGAGAAACTGAGGTCCAGACAGGGGAAGGGACTATGAGGGGTTAAACAGGAGCAGAACTGGGATGAGAAGCAGATTTCCTGACACTGAATCTAAACCTTTTGACATTATATGCCCCCTACCTTCTAAGTCTTTCATTCTTCCAGTACAGAGTAGGTTAGAATTCAAGACCCTGGGAAAAATGAAGAGAGCCAGTTAAATGAACCTCACAATATAAATGAGTTGCCAAGAGTAGGATTTGAGAGGACTATGGGGAGAGAACATCAGCTGCACACTGGGTATATGAAGGATCTGAAGGAGGGACATCTGGGCAGGGGGTAGGGTAGGGAGGGATGCAGACAGGCAAGGCTTTGTCTTCGTAAATTCGGCTGGTTTTAGGTTCAACATGGGTCACAGAGCATTGAAATTTTAAAAAGAATTACACCGATATCAACTGTACCTGCTAGAAGCTCACTTCAAGACACACAGGAATGCAGGGCTCATGGACAAAAGAAAATAACTGTTCATTAACAAAATACGGTGATAAGGCATTTATATTCCACACAAACCAAGATTCACCAATTGTGTGTGTGTGTGGAAGGGCACGGATGGTTTGTGATGGGTGAGAAGAGAGGAGGGTTAGTGTGAGATTCCTGTCCAGAGAGCGAACAACCAGGGACCTGCCACGAAGGCTTGGGGAGAATGTAGGGATCCAGTGGGGTTGTAATTAATGGGAGAGAGGAGAAAGTACAGGGCATTGTAGGTGCAGAGCCCAGATGTGGCCCAGGCCATTGGCAGCTGTGATGTGGAGCGTTGGCTATGGCTACCATCTTTTGGTCACGTATTTTTGGGCTCTGAGACTCAGAACTGATTGTCCTTCCATGAGCTCCTGAATTTTATTGGCTCCCTCGAGCACCTGCCTTATCAAGCTCTGAGAAGCATTCCATTCTGTAAAATTTCCCGGCATGTGCATCTTATGCAAATGTGCACAATCCCTGGAGATAAAGCCTCAGATTTTATGACTTACATGTGATGACTGAATGTTCATGTCCCCATTTGTGTTTCCTAGGGCTGTTATCACAGATCACAGCTACAGTAAATGTTTACAGCAATTCTGCTGTCCATTTTGGATCCTTGGGTGAAAAGAAGAGCTTTTGCTTTTGCTTAAGATTTGAATGCTCATTCCCAGGGCCACTCACTTTCACAAGTGGAAAGAGAAATTTGAGTAATGGGGCTTCACCATCTGAAACTGCGAGGCTAGGCAGGATTTATCGAATGCTCAAATACATCTTGGTTACGACCAGAATGGACAGCAAACACACACATATAAAATCACTGGATCTCAAAACATCAGAGCCAAGGCGAAGCAACATGCCCAAGCTCCCAATCAGAGACTCAGTTACTTGCAGATGCTTTCCAACGGGGGTCTGTATTTTTATTCCCCATGAATTCCATGGACATCGTTCAGCCAAATTTTCAACGTGATGGGAACAACACCCCTGGGCTAAATCCAACACACGATCTATTTTTGTAAGTAAAGTTTTACTGGAGCCCAGCCAAGCCCATTGTTTGTGTTGTCTGTGGCTGCTTTTATGCTTTAACAACAGAGTGTGACAGAGACAGTAAATGCAAAGCATAAAACATTTACTCCCGGGCCCTTTACAGAGAAAGTTTGCAAATTCTTGATCTAGAGGACCATAATTTTTTATTTCACTTCAAGTTGGTTTTGCTTAGCAGCATTGGAGAAATTTTCTTCTTTCCCTTCTGCCTCCCCTTTCCCTCTTTCCTTCCTTCTTTCCTTCCTTCCTTCCCTCCCTCCCTTCCTTCACTCCCTCCTTCTCTCCTTTCTTTCTCTCTCCCTCTGTTACCTTCCCTTTCTTTCCTTCCTTCCCTCCCCCTTCCTCTCTCCCCCTTTTTTCACTTTCTTCCTTTCCCCTTCTTCCTTCCTTTCGTTCTCTCTTTCCTTCTCTCCCTTCCCTTTCCTTTCCCTCCCTCCATCCTTCCCCCTACTCTCTTTTAAGGGCTAACATTAATTTAGGGAAAGAGCAATCTGGGATAAGCTGTGAAACAAATGGTCTCATAGGATGACAGGACAGTTCTTTTATATCAAAGCTGGTGCTGCATTCCCTATACAGTCCCCTATTTTTATGATAAAAAATTTAATGAAATACTTCAAATATACAGGAATGCAGAAAGAATATAGCAAACACCCTTATATTCACCACTCAGATTTTATAGATCTTAACAATATATTATTTGTAGAAAAGAAATAAAACATTACAGATATAGCCGAAGACCTATTTATACCCTTTTCTTGGTCTCATTTTCCTCTTTCCTAAAAGGTGAATGCTGTCTTGAACTTGGTGTGGATTCTTCTAGACTATGTTTTTATATTTTTACTACATATATATATGGGTACCCGTATAGCCATAAAGAATATATTCTGTTTTAAAATTTCTGCTTCCTGCACTTTTGAAACTGTAGGAAAAATGTAACATTGGCATTTAAAAATCTTGGGGTGGGAGATGCACACTTTAACTCCAATACCAATATTTTCATATTTTGGCCTTGCTCAAATTGTGTGTATTCTTTCACAAAGTTGCAATTAGAATATGCGCATCATTTTGTTGTCTTCTCCCCACCCCTACCATCAAATTGTAAATGTTCCAGTTTCAGTTTTCATAATTATTATTTTTAGGGGCTGCAGAACATAACTGTTGACATATAATTTTTAGAAAGCCATTTAAAAATCCTCTGGTGGACAAAAATCTCTTGACAGTGGTCACTTCTGGGCTACTTTTACTTTTCAGTGTGTAACTTCTGCGGTTATTTATTTATTCAATTTTTATTTGTTTTTCTTTTTTTTTGAGCAAAACTCTATCACCCAGGCTGGAGTACAGTGGCACAATCTCGGCTCACTGCAACCTCTGCCTCCCAGGTTCAAGCAATTCTCCTGCCTCGGCCTCCCAGTTAGCTGAGATTACAGGCATGCGCCACCACACCTGGCTAATTTTTGTATTTTTAGTAGAGACAGGGTTTTACCATGTTGGCCAGGCTGGTGTCTCAAACTCCTGACCTCAAGTGATCTGCTTGCCTCAGCCTCCCAAAGTGCTGGGATTACAGGCATAAGCCACTGTGCCTGGCCTGTGGTGTTTATTTTAACCCCCCACACATACATTATTTTATTTGAGATTTTATTTTAAAAGTAAATTAAAAACTTTTTCTTTGTTGCTAAAAAAGACCTTGCTGGCTGAGCATGGTGGCTCAGGCCTGTAATCCCAGTAGTTTGGGAGGCTGAGGTGGGTGGATCACAAGATCAGGAGATTGAGACCATTCTGGCCAACAGGGTGAAACCCTGTCTCTACTAAAATACAAAAAAAATTAGCCAGGCATGGTGGCACGCAACTGTAGTCCTAGCTACTCAGGAGGCTGAGGCAGGGGAATCACTTGAACCTGGGAGATGGAGGTTGCAGTGAGCCGAGATTGTGCCACTGCACTCCAGCCTGGCGAAAGAGCAAGACTCTGTCTCCAAAAAAAAAAAAAAAAAAAAAAAAAAAAAAGACCTTGCTCTCTGTAGAAAATATTCCAGAAAGCAGAAAGGAGGTCCCTTACTTTTCAATGTTGTTTTGAGGATCAAAATAACGCATGTGCCTAAATGTCCTTGGTAAACTGTAAAACTCTCTGAACATGAAGAAAAGAAAACAAACAAACAAACAAACAAAAAAAAACAACCCTAGTGGGTTTGTTTGGCAGCTAGGAAGGACCAAAGACTAATGTCAGAGCACCCAGACTAGAGTGGCCTTGCTCAGCTGGAGTCAGCTACATAAGCTTAGCTAAGGTATTCCCAGCCTGGCCTTTGGCATGCCAAGGCAGAATTCATCTCTGAAGTTAGAATGACTCATGCGAGGAAGAATTTGTCCTAGGTTTCTTCAATTCACCAGGGAGGTTTCCTTAGAATCCTTTATCTGTACTGTTAGAAGGAAATAGAATATCATAAAAACAAGACTTTTATTAGCCCAACACTTTTCAGAAGTCTTTATAGAGGTCATTTATAGCATTATCTTATAACTTATGTGTTGCCTCTTTGTGACTAATGACAGCAAGGCACATATTAATGAGGGTATCACAGTCTACGATGGCATGTTGTCATAAAGCATTAAAAATTAACTACTCTGGAAAATCAACCAAGGGCAGTTTAAAGGCAGTGTCAGCTTTGTAATCTTTTCCTATCTTATTTACACTTATTAGCTAATCCACCAAATCAAACGTGTGTGCATTTAACAGAATTTCACTGCAATCAGTGAATGGGGCCCCTTGAATTTAAGTAACTTTATGTGACTGTGTAGAGGCATGAGAGGAGAGGGACCAGCATTATAAATATTCATTACAATTTCAAATGGCCCAGTGTGCAGAGTCAGGAAGAAGTGGCCATTTCACTTTTGGCAAGACTTATGCACAGCAGAGGCGCCTTCCTCCTCTTGGGCTACTGCAGAGGGCAAGGCAGAATGGAAGCGGTCCAGAACCCGGGAGAAGAATGCTTTCCTCACTGCAGACCTTTCCCACTTCCAACCACTGAGAATCACAAGTCCCTGGAGCCAGGACTTCCTGCATAAACACGAGGACACTGAGAATTAGAGAGGGGAAATGTTTTGCCCAAAGGTTTGCAGGCCTAGAGTGGCGGCACTGGGGCTAAAATGCTGGTTCTTCTGACTGCTAACTCCAGGGAGAGAGGAGTTTCTTTCTAACTCACCATCTCTCCTCCCACCTCCTGGCTCTGCCTCCCCTCCTTCACCAGGGAAGATGGTGACATTGGGTCCCCTGGGTGAGAGAATCTTCAGGGGAGATCTGGGCAGAGGGGAACTATGGCATCAGGTCCTCAAAAGGCCCACCTTCGGGAAGGAGGTCGAATCACCCTCCAGGGCTCACGTGTTAGCTCAGAAGCATGGAGTTGGTATTAGATGTGCTCTTTGCTAACTGATGGAGGGAGGGAATAGGAGATTCTCATAGGAGGGACAGGCAGGTATGGTGGGAAACTTAAACACTGGAGGGCCCTCAGGAGCAGCAATGGGATGGGGACTGGGAAACGGAACTAGAGAGGAGATGCAAGATATAAGAGGAGATGTGAGAAGTAAGAGTCCAACCCTGCTGGCCCATCCCCAAGGCTCCGTCTGGGTGCTGTTTGCGTGCCGTGAAATGTTAGGGTTTGTGCAGTGAAAACAGTTCGTGCATTCATTCCATCTAGGGAAGTCCAGTTTCGTCCACACCTGGAGATTTGAAAACAAAAGACTCAGCTGGGCGCAGTGGCTCACGCCTGTAATCCCAGCACTTTGGGAGTCCAAGGCAGGCAGATCACGAGGTCAGGAGTTCGAGACCAGCCTGACCAACATGGTGAAATCCTGTCTCTACTAAAAATACAAAAATTAGCTGGGTGTGGTGGTGCACACATGTAATCCCAGCTACTCAGGAGGCTGAGGCAGGAGAATCGCTTGAACCCAGGAGGCAGAGGTTGCAGTGAGTTGAGATCGCACCACTGCACTCTAGCCCGGGCGACAGAGTGAGACTCTGTCAAAAAATAAATAAATAAAAAAGACTCACCATGATCATCCCTTAATACTACCCTCCCTGGTATTGTTTTGGAGATGACATGAACATGCATTTGGGGTGACCCTGGTGCTCTCTGCTGGTTTATATGAGCAACTGCACCATCCAGCCAGGTAGAAGGTTCATTAGGAGAAGGCTGAAAGAGACAGGAAGGAGGAGAAAGGGTGAAGATGGAAGAACTGCATCAAGAATTCAGGAGTGAGGAGGGAGCAATTCTCCCAGAAATTACATGAAATAATCTAAATAAAACCAGCAAGTACCAAGCCTGCTATGTAAGAGGTGCTTGGTGATGTTCTGGTTGTGTCTGAGTCAAGATGGACTGCATCCGGGTTGGGGAGTTAAAATTACAAACTTGCTAAGTTTCTCCCCGCTCCTGGGTGGGGGTGGGGTTTCTCACTTATGGACTCTCCAGCACTCAGACTTGCTTTTGGGGACGAGCTCTGATAAACCTGTGTACACTGAGGTGCAAAAGATGGACAATAGCTCAGAGCAACAGTCTACAGGTGACTTGCAAGGAACCTCTAAGTGTTAATAGCTGTTCCTTGGCAAAAAGAGTTCAATAGTTGAGTGAGTTTGTGAGATGTCATGTACCGTGTTCCCTCCCTGGGGATGACTGTACATGGCATATATTAAAGGCTCAGAAAAGTTGTGTGGCAAAGAAACTGCCTTAATTCTGTTTAGCATTTTATAGACCTTTTTGACCATGGAATTCTTTTTCTCATGGAATACGTATTATCATCTTGAATAAAGCTTGCTTGGAAAATCAGGAGTAGAGAGACTACAGGCCCTGTAGGCAGCTGACCACTCTCCCTCCTAACTCCGCCTCTCCTCTCCTTCCAGGCAGACATCTTCTCGGGGGCCATATTCATCAATCTGGCCTTAGGCCTGAATCTGTATTTAGCCATCTTTCTCTTATTGGCAATCACTGCCCTTTACACAATTACAGGTGAGTCCATTCAAATAAACCAGCACCTCAAACCCAGCTCGGGATCAGGCACTAGTGAAGGATAAAGGGAAGTAGGAGAGGTGGTTTCTCTTCTTGAGGAGAGATACACTCAGGTAAGAGTTTGGGAGTGAGGTATTTGCTTAGTACCAACTCATAGACCCTCCAAGTTATACAAGTGGTTTCAGAAAGCTGTGGTGTTGGCTGGGATAGTCAGGGCAGCTTCTCACAGGAGTGCATGCAGAGCTGGGCCCTGTGGGTTGTGGAGATGACTTAGCTAAGGTGGGAGAATCAGAGCAGTGGCAGGTGCAGAAATAAGTGAGCACAGGGGAGTGGAGGCAGGGTGGGCACGCAGATGCTCTTGGCTGGAGGAGGGTGGCCACTGAAGGATCGTGGGGGTTTGTGGGGACCATATAGCTTGATAGTTCAGATGAGGTCACAGCATACTGTGTGTTTTGAACACAGTATACTGGGGTTTGGAAAGCCAGGCAGAGGCCTTGGATTTGATGTGTCAGGGACTGGGAGCCCCTGTAAGGAGGGAGAAAGGCAGTGACTCACACACAGAGGTTTCAGAAGAGGACTCAAGTGGCCACCCAAGAAGCTGGTGCATAAATAGCAATTGGGGCTCCTTTGCAGAGGGGTCACTCTGCCTCCTTGGTGGGGGTGGGAGGGATCAGCTTTAGAACTTGCTGCTTGACTGCAGCCCCACAGCTTTGGGGACTAAGAAAAAGGTAGACATATGTCCCACCATCTCCACAGCCAGCTCTTTGCTCCTCCCTGCCTTGTGTGTGGAAGACGCTTCTTCTTACCACAGAGGAGTCATCTCCTTTGAGCCATCTTCTGGCTCAAAAGGGTCACACCAGACTCTTTCCCCTCAAGTAGGGAGAAACATTCGCCACTTCTATGACAGGTGGAGCTGTGGGAACATGCTGAATAGCAAAATACTGTAACAGGACAAGGGAGGGAAGGAAGGAGAGGCAGGCAAACCACTGTGGGGATGTTCTCAGAAGGCCAGCAGAAGTAGAGGGTGGAGAGTGGGGAAGGAAGCAAGTAGACAGGTCACCCTCCACACGAGGTCAGATGTGTTGTCTTCTTGCCTGCTTAGGGGGCCTGGCGGCGGTGATTTACACGGACACCTTGCAGACGGTGATCATGCTGGTGGGGTCTTTAATCCTGACTGGGTTTGGTAAGTGGGGCCAGGGCAGGCTGAGGAGGTGGGAGCAGAGGTAGAGGGCCTCAGGAAGAGGAAGGCAAGTCCAGCCTCTCTACCTGCTTGCCAGACTAGGCAGTGAGCTGAGGCATGCTCTGCCCTTCCAAACGGAGGGTCCAGCCCAGATGGGCTGTCATTGTGGGTATGCAGGGTCAGCTTCCTTATCCCTGGAAGACTGAAGCTGGGGCTGGTCCTGGATTTTCTGCTGCCCTCTCTCACCAGTCTGGGCTAGTGGTTGTGCTGTGAGCCTGTGATAACATGGTGTTCTGTTTGCAGAGAAACTGGACAAAAAAGGATAAGGCTAAATATCCATCAAGCTAAATCTAGTCAAATGTTGCGTCTTCCATCTTAGGCTATATCTTATCTACATTTTGATGTCAAATATCCTTTCTTTTATGAATTGTTGATAGTGGGTGATAATGTTCCTTTTAATGCCCCTATTTGGCAAAATTAAAAACTTGGCTCCTCAGGGTTGGCCCTCCAATTAATTTTTTTTTTTTTTGCAATTTTACTTGTCTATGAAATCTTAAAGATGAGACTGGAGAACCTAGGTAAGGGTACTTATTATGGGAGGATAGAAAGTACATTTTATTTCTAGGTGCTCAAGGCCCACTGTGTATCCTGCAAAAACTTGTATTTGCTCTCCACTCTTCTGTTTTCTAAGGACTTTCATTTGGTTCTCCCCAGCAGGCCTTGGGTGTTAGCTAGGCAGGCAGTGGAATGACTTATTCAAGGACACACAATTGAGAGGTGGCAGGTTCTGGATTCCTCACCCATTCCCTGTCCATCCCACCACATGCTGGGTCCAGGAGTGGTAGGTGTGGGTCTGAGGTCCCAAAGGCCACTGTGTGTGTCTAGGTCTGTGTGTCTCTAGGCCTGAGTCCAAGGCTCCAAAGGCCATGGCTGACAGCAGAGGGTGAGGGAAAAAACAGAGTCTTTGTATGTGGTCCCAAACCAAGGTCTTTCTTTGATTAATAAAAGTCCCTTCCCTTTTACAAAGAGGTTTACAGTTGGAGTACTTTTACAAGTGATTGCTTTGGTCCCCATAATAGCCCCCAAGGGGGCTGGGCAGGGCTACTAATCTCATTCTATGGATGACAAAGCTGAGGCCCAGAATGGGAAGGTGATTTGCCCAAGGCCACTCAGTGAGGGCTCTGTCTGTGGGTTGGGTCCTCTCAGTTTCTCAGGCATCTATGGAAAGAAGCTGCTATGACGAGTTGAAGGTTTCAGAATGTTCATTTCTGTACCGATGTTTTCCAGCTTTTCACGAAGTGGGAGGCTATGACGCCTTCATGGAAAAGTACATGAAAGCCATTCCAACCATAGTGTCTGATGGCAACACCACCTTTCAGGAAAAATGCTACACTCCAAGGGCCGACTCCTTCCACATCTTCCGAGATCCCCTCACGGGAGACCTCCCATGGCCTGGGTTCATCTTTGGGATGTCCATCCTTACCTTGTGGTACTGGTGCACAGATCAGGTACCCAAGCTGGATGTGCGGGATGGACAGAGTCTTCTCCAGGGCCCTACAGGAACTCCTGTCTGTCTGTGGTTTGCAGGGTTGGGACAGGGAGGGGAGAGCTCAGGTGGTTTGTAAGTTGCCACGCCCCAGTGATACAGCAGTGCCAGGCCAATGACCCAAGATGGCGAAGCTAGGAAGTACAAAGGTGTCACAGGGTCTCTGGTCTGCACACCTCCCTTACTGGGCTTTTTCTGGCAGGTCATTGTGCAGCGCTGCCTCTCAGCCAAGAATATGTCTCACGTGAAGGGTGGCTGCATCCTGTGTGGGTATCTAAAGCTGATGCCCATGTTCATCATGGTGATGCCAGGAATGATCAGCCGCATTCTGTACACAGGTAATAACTTCTGCTGGACCCACAAACCACTCTCCCTTTTTCTGTCTCCAAGTCACTTCTAAAGCTCTATAGCTTCCCGCTTCCTCCTCTTTTTTTTTGAGACCAGGTCTCACTCTGTCACCCAGGCTGGAGTGCAGTGGTGTGATCATTGCTCACTGCAGTCTCCAACTCTAACTCCTGGGCCCTAGTGACCTTCCTGCTTCAGCCTCCTGAGCAGCTGGGACTACAGGTATGTACCACCATGCCTGCCTAATTTTTAATTTTTTTTTTTGTAGCGATGGGATTTTGCTATGTTGCTCAGGCTGGTCTTGAACTCCTGGCCTCAAGTGATCCTCCTGCCTTGGCCTTCCAAAGTGCTGGGATTATAGGCATAAGCCACCACGCCTGGCCCTCTTCTTTATTTGTTATGGTCATATCCAAGCATTATTGCTCCTGTGCTAGACAGTGAGCAACTTGAGGGAACTTTTGGAGTTGTCTTCCCTGGTTTCTTATGTCGACAATTGTTTCCTCCTTTTTTTTTTTTTTTTTTTTCAAATCTTCTAAAGTTATGACATGCCTCCAGGTCACTTCTCCCTAATAATATTTGCTCAATTGTTGCTTAATCTCTTGCTGTCATCCTTCCACCCTGAATGTTTCTTTGATTTCTTTCCTCCGTTGCCTAGAAATTGTCTTTCTTCCTTAGTCAGAGCTCATCAGTGTGTCAGGGCCAGCAGGGCGGGGCAGGCACCAAAGGGTTCTGTGGAGAGCTGCACTCCTGAGGAACCATTTCAGAGCCTTGGAAAGGAATATCCTGTTTGAAACCTTGTTTTAAGAAGGTGAATTTTGGCCGGGCACGGTGGCTCACGCCTGTAATCCCAGCACTTTGGGAGGCTGAGGCGGGTGGATCACGAGGTCAGGAGATCGAGACCATCCTGGCTAACACAGTGAAACCCTATCTCTACTAAAAATACAAAAAATTAGCCAGGCATGGTGGTGGGCGCCTGTAGTCCCAGCTACTTGGGAGGCTGAGGCAGGAGAATGGCGTGAACCCGGGAGGCAGAGCTTGCAGTGAGCCGAGATCGTGCCACTGCACTCCAGCCTGGGCTACAGAGTGAGACTCCGTCTCAAAAAAAAAAAAAGAAGGTGAATTTTGGAAATATTTCCCCAATGTCTGCTTGCTGACGTGGCTCTCCATCTCTTCCCAGAAAAAATTGCCTGTGTCGTCCCTTCAGAATGTGAGAAATATTGCGGTACCAAGGTTGGCTGTACCAACATCGCCTATCCAACCTTAGTGGTGGAGCTCATGCCCAATGGTGAGATTCTTTCTTGGGAGGTTGGTAGAGTCTTTCTTGGGAGGCTGATTGGGTTTAGGCACCACCTACATTCCTGTGAACCTTCTGGGCAAAGACATTTCTTAGCCGGGGGGTTAGAAGGGAAAGCATCATTGTGGGTGTCCTCAGTTTTTGGACATGTCCTCTCTCAGTGGGAAGGAGACATATGACTTGGTTGGGTTCTATGAGTTCTGGGACTTGCCCATCAGTCAGGCTTGGAAAGGAGATGATCTGAAAACTTGTTAGAGAAAAACATGACTTTCCATACTCATACAGAAGGTCTTTCAAAGCTCTCCAACAGTGGATGTAAATTAGCACACCCATTATGGAAAACTGGATGGTGGTCCCTCAAAAAATTAAAAATAGAACTACCATATGATCTAGTAATCCCATGACTGGGCATATAGCCAAAGGAAATGAAATCAGTGTTTTGAAGAGATATCTGCTCTCCCATGTTCACTGTAGCATTGTTCACAGTAGTCAAGATGTGGAATCAATATAAATGCCTATCAATGAATGAATGGATGAATGGATAAAGAAAATGTAATATACAGTATATACACAATGGGATACTATTCACCCTCAAAAAGAAGGAAATTATGTCATTTATGACAACATAAATGAACCTGGAGAACATTATGTTTAGTGAAATACTTTAGACTCAAACAAATACCACATATTGTCACTTACATGTAGAGCCTTAAAAAGTCAAATTTGTAGAAGCAGAGAGTAGAATGGTGGTTACTAGGGGTTGGGGTGGGGATCTGGGAAGATGTTGGTCAATGGATACAAAATTTCAGTTAAGAGGAATAAGTTCAAGAGATCTATTGTACAACATAGTGACTATAGTTAATAGCAACGTATTGTATACTTGAAAATTGCCAAGAGTAGATTTTAACTGTTCTCACCACAAAAAATGTTAAGTATTTAAGGTAATGCATATATTTGCTAATTAGCTCAATTGAGCTAATGTATAGATATTTCAAGACATCATATTATATACCCTCAATATACATAACTTTTACTTGCCAATTAAAAAATATTTTTAAAAAGCTCTCCAACAGATGTTAAAATGAAGGCTTGAACTAGGTCCAAGGGGTTTTACCTGGAGAATGAATTGACTTTTATGCTCTTCCAAGGAAACACATGGGGAAAGAGGCAAGATTTCAGCTCTAGAATGAGAAAGTCTGAGGCAGGAGATGGATGGCATTCAAGGCGGCTTGTCACCATAAAGAATCTGTTTTCCTAGGAGACTGAGTACTTAGCTGTGACTCCTGAATAGCTAGAGTTTTGTAGTTGACCTGTGGGATTACAGTCATGTTTCAGAAAAATCTCCTAATTCTGGCTCAAGGGATACAAATCTGGCTAGGGGGTTAGGTTAGGGGGTTTCAGGAGAACAAAACTTCAAAGTTATTACCTAGAAAAATTTAGAATAAACCTATAAAATTGTATTACTGAAAAGAAACTTAGAGACTAGTCAAATTCTTTCATTTTACAGTTGGGGAAACGGAAGCCAATAGAGGGGAGGTGAGTTTTCCAGGGCCAGGCAGGAACGTGGTGTCTGGCATTTGGCATGCTTAACGCTGCTCAAGGCTGGAATTGAGGAATTCGGGAGAGTCTTTTAAAAAATTAAAAAACTACAAACTTCATGCATGACTTTGGGCAAACCATTTGCATTCAAATTATATAAAAATGGGAATAATACTTAACTAGCCTACTGAGCTGGGCTGCTTATTCATAAGGTTACAATTAGCAGGAGTCACAGTGACTCTTCTAGAAAAGTTCTGGCATGGATTGCATTGGCCTCTGTGGAGTGTTTATGTTATTCCTTTAGGTGGGCAGACCCTCCTAGTGAGGACTAAACATTATGCGGGAGTGGACTGTGCACAACAGAAAGATGTGTGGCATGCAGAATAAAATGCCGTGCTTCCCTGTGCCATTGCTAGTCCCTCCTCTTGGCTGTAATCTGGCTTCAGTAAATACTGCATTCCTTTTTTTTTTTTTTTTTGAGATGGAGTCTTGCTCTTATCACCCATGCTGGAGTGCAATGGCGTGATCTCAGCTCACTGCAACCTCCACCTCCCCAGTTCAAGCAATTCTCCTGCCTTAGCCTCTGTAGTAGCTGGGATTACAGGCACCTGCCACCACGCCCAGCTAATTTTTTTGTATTTTTAGTACAGACGGGGTTTCACCACATTGGCCACGCTGGTCTCAAACTCCTGACCTCAGGTGATCCACTCGCCTCAGCCTCCCAAAGTGCTGGGATTACAGGTGTGAGTCACCATGCCCAGCCTACTGTATTCCTTAATGACCTCCCTGTGCTAGACTAAATAGATATTTTCCATTCCTCACCTTACTGGATCCCTCAGTGGCATTCAGCATTATCGATCACTCATCCTTCTTGAGTTGTTCTCTTCTCTTGGATTCCATCATACTGTATTCTCCTGTTTGTCTTTTTAAATTTTCCCCATCCTCTCTGGCTGCTCCTTTTCATTCCATTTGCAGATTCAGCCTCCTCCACTCAGCAAGTAGGTGATCCTCCCACCAATCCACACCAACTTGTGTCTATTTTGTCTCCTAATGTATGTCTCTCTATTTTTACTTTTGTTACCCTAGTCTGATAGACCATTATTTTTTGCCTAGACCACTGTAAAATTATGCACTGTAAAATTGTGTTCAGCAAATATTTGTTGAGTAATTAAATGAATGGGGTCTGATAAGAGTGTCATACAGTGGGGAAAGTTCTATCCCAGCTTACCAATTTCAAGGCAAAGTAATCCTGAACGAATGGCAGAGCTAGGGCTGAAAGCCCTTCCTACTAACTCCTTGAAATGGACCTTTATCAACTGAAAAATGAGATAATTGGACTTGATGATCTTTATAACTTCTATATCTCTGATAGTTTGTGATCTATACCACACAAACTCAGAAAGAGCCATTAAAAAAACCTCGCAACAAATGACAAAATAATTAGAATAGGCAGCCTTTAGAATTCATCTTGCAAGGCTGTAGGTGAGACCATAAATTATTTAAAGATATAAAACCTAGAGGAAAGACAGAATTGTGTTCCAAAAAGATCTCAAGAGGCATGAATGCTGACTCAGATCTAACCAGCTGAAGTTTAATAGAGGTATAAGTAAAGTTCTAAACATTTGGGTCTCCTAAATGCAGTTAGATAGGAATATAGAGAAGAGAGAGTTCAAGGGAACATGAGTTATCTTTGAATATATGAAAGATGGCAAAATGGATAAGGAGTAAGACCTGTTCTGTTGGGTACCATGAGGACTACATTTGATGCTATAGAGAGGTAGATTTCAGCCTACTCAGAACTGTCTGAGGGCAGGTTCCCTGTAGGGTAGGAGATTTCCTGTTGCTATAGAGATGGGCAGAGGAATGTTGTGGAAGGGATTCATGTATCAGATGGATGATAGGTCTAGGTGATCCTAAGGTTACTTTTACTCCTGAAACTGTAAAACTCTTGTTAGTGGGTCCTCAGCTTGGCCTGGCCTTCTAGCCTCAGCAGGTGTCCCCCTGTACACTCCTTGGTATGGGAAGAATAATAGAGATTATAGCCAACCAGGCTTGCCATAATTGAGAAAACTTTAATAACAAGAGTTCCGTATTCCTATTTGGGAAGGTGTAGTATTCCGTATACTGATTTGGGAAGGTATCCCTGTTTAACACATCAAGAAATGAGGCCTAGAGCTTGACGTAACTTGCTTAGGATCAGAGTTAGAAATACAGCCTTGTCTTTCAAAAAAAAAAAAAAAAACAAAAAAACTTAATTGAGCTTAAATTCACCTATCCTACAATTCCCTCATTTAAAATGTACAATTCAGTGGTTTTTTAAGTATATTCACAGAGTTGTGCAAGCATCACTGAAATAAATTTTAGAAAATTTGTGTCATGCCATAAAGAAATCCTATACCTGCTAATGAAATGAGCAGTCTCTCCCTATTTCACCCCAACCTCCCAGTCCCTGGCAACCACTAACATACTTTCTGTATTCCTAGATTTGCCTATTCTGGATATTTCATATAAATAGAATCATATAATACGTGTTTTTTTGTGACTTGCTTCTTTTACTTAACATAATGTTTGCAAGGTTCATATGTGTCCTAGCATGTATTTGTATGTCATTCCTTTTTATTGATGAATAATATTCCATCACATGTTTACCCATTTGTCAATTGCTTATGCATTTTGTTTATCCACTTATCATTTGGTGGACATTTGTATTGCTCCTCCTTTTTGGGTATTACAAGTAATAATATTACAAACATTAATGTATGAGTTTTTGAGTGGACATATGTTTTCATTTCTCTTGGGTAGAGAGAAATGAAATTCCACCTAGGAATGGAATTTCATTTCTCTTGGGTAGAGAGAAATGAAATTCCACCTAGGAATGGAATTGATGGGTAATATGGTAGCTGAATGTTTAACCATCTGAAAAACTGACTGACCCAGACTATTTTCTGCAGTGGCTGTACCATTTTACATTCCTGCCAGCAATATATGAAGGTCCTCATTTCTCCATATCTCCACTCACACTTGTTATTTCTGTTTTTTAAAAATTTATTATCATAGCTATCCTAGTGGGTACAAAGTTATTATCCCACTATGGCTTTGATTTGAATTCCCCTGATGTCAAGCATCTTTTCATGTCATTATTGGCTATTTGTATGGCTTTGGAGAAGTGTCTATTCAGATCCTTTGGCATTTTAAATTGGGTTGTCATTTTATTATTGAATTTTAGGAGTTCTTTATATGTTCTTATATTAGACCCTTATCAGATACATGATTTGCACGTATTTTCTCCCAGTCTGTGGATGGCTTACTTTCTTGAGAGCCCCATCTTTTGAATAATAGTTTAAATCTCTTTCTGTTATATCATAAATATTTCAGGTGAGAGACCTTATAAAAATCCCCTCAGATGGAAACACACATACACAAACACACACACACACACACACACACACACACACACACACACACACCCCACCACCTTCATCATCGTCCAGTTGCAAAGTATTCACCTCAAGTATGTTGTGTCTCTGGCTCTTTGTGGCTGCTGTGGGCTTATAATGGGCTAATAAATTTAAAGCCATAGGACTACTTCTTAAAGCTTCTAGTCTTTTTGGAGACAGAAATTGGATAACATGGCATGGTTTCAGAAGGCAAACAAATCTTGAGTCCTCATATATTTTTCAAGTACAAAAGAGCTGAAGGTGCTGTTATGTGCCACTCAAAAATCCTTCTCTTCCAGGACTGCGAGGCCTGATGCTATCAGTCATGCTGGCCTCCCTCATGAGCTCCCTGACCTCCATCTTCAACAGCGCCAGCACCCTCTTCACCATGGACATCTACGCCAAGGTCCGCAAGAGAGCATCTGAGAAAGAGCTCATGATTGCCGGAAGGTAAATGCAGCTTCCCCCAAGCCACAAAAGCTTGAATGATCAGAGAGGTTCCATCTGTGTTACCCCTCAAGCTAGGGAAGGTTGGCAGATGCCTGGGTAGAATGGGAATAATTTCTGTGGCTGGTTATATGTGCCATTTGGTGGCATTTAACTTTATTTACTTATTATTTTATTTTATTATTTTTAAATTTTTTATTTCCATTCATGTTTGGGAAACAGGTCGTATTTGGTTACATGAGTAAGCTCTTTAGTGGTGATTTGTGAGATTTTGGTACACCCATCACTTGAGCATTATACACTGAACCCAATTTGTAATCTTTTATCCCTCGCCCCCCTCCCACCCGTTTCCCGTGAGTCCCCAAAATCCACTGTATCATTCTTATGCCTTTGCAACCTCATAGCTTAGCTCCCACTTATAAGTGAGAACATATGATGTTTGGTTTTCCATTCCTGAATTGCTTCACTTAGAATAATAGTCTCCAGTTTCATCCAGTTGCTGCGAATGCCATTAATTCGTTCCTTTTTATGGCTGAGTAGGATTCCATCATATGTATATATACACCATAATTTCTTTATCCACTTGTTGATTGATGGGCATTTGGTCTGGTTCCATATTTTTGCAATTATGAATTGTGCTGCTATAAACCTGCGTGTGCAAACATCTTTTTTGTATAACGACTTCTTTTCCTCTGGGTAGATACCCAGTAGTGGGATTGCTGGATCAAATGGTAGTTCTACTTTTAGTTCTTTAAGGAATGTCCATACTGTTTTCCATAGTGGTTGTATTAGTTTACATTCCCACCAACAGTGTAAAAGTGTTCTTTTCACCACATCCACACCAATATCTATTTTTTTTATTTCTAAATTACAGTCATTCTTGGAGTAAGGTGATTATTTTTTCCTTGTTAATTTGTTTGAAATTTTTTGTAGATTCTGGATATTAGTCCTTTGTTGGAAGTATAGATTGTGAAGATTTTCTGCCACTGTGTGGGTTGCCCGTTTACTCTGCTAACTGTTCCTTTTGCTGTGCAGAAGCTCTTTAGTTAAGTCCCACCTATTTATCTTTGTTTTTGTTGCATTTGCCTTTGGGTTCTTGGTCGTGAACTCTTTGCCTAAGCCAATGCCTAGGAGGGTTTTTCTGATGCTATCTTCTAGAATTTTTATAGTTTCAGGTCTTAGATTTAAGTCCTTGAATTATCTCAAGTTGATTTTTGTATAAGGTGAGAGATGAGTATCCAGTTTTATTCTCCTGCATGTGGCTTGCCAATTATCCCAGCACTATTTGTTGAATAGGGTGTCCTTTCCCCACTTTATATTTTTGTTTGGTTTGTCAAAGATTAGTTGGCTCTAAGTATTTGGGTTTATTTCTGGGTTCTCTCATTCTGTTTCATTAGTCTCTGTGCCTATTTTTATATCAGTACCATGCTGTTTTGGTGGCTCTGGCCTTATAGTATAGTTTGAAGTCAGGTAATGTGATGCCTCCAGATTTGTTCTTTTTGCTTAGTCTTGCTTTGGCTATGTGGGCTCTTTTTTTGGTTCCATATGAATGTGAGTATTGTTTTTCCTAGTTCTGTGAAGAATGATGGTGGTATTTTGATGTGAATTGCATTGAATTTGTAGATTGCTTTTGGCAGTATGGTCATTTTCACAATATTGATTCTACCCATCCATGAGCATGGGATGTGTTTCCATTTGTTTGTGTCATCTGTGATTTCTTTCAGCAGTGTTTTGTAGTTTTCCTTGTAGAGGTCTTTCACGTCCTTGGTTAGGTATATTCCTAAGTCTTTTTTCCTTTCTTTTCTTTTCTTTTCTCTTCTCTCTCTTTCTTTTTTTTTTGCAGCTATTGTACAAGGAGTTGAGTTCTTGATTTGATTCTCAGCTTGGTCACTGTTGATGTAGCAGAGCTACTGATTTGTGTACATTAATTTTGGGTCCTGAAACTTTGCCAAATTCATTTATCAGTTCTACAAGCATTTTGGAGGAGTCTTTAGGGTTTTCTAAGTATATGATTGTATCATCAGCAACCAGTGACAGTTTGACTTCCCCTTTACTGATTTGGATGCCATTCATTTCTTTCTTTTGTCTGATTGCTCTGGCTAGGACTTCCAGTACTATGTTGAATACAAGTGGGTGAGAGTGGGCATCCTTGTCTTGTTCCAATTCTCAGAGGGAATGCTTTCAACTTTTCCCCTTTTGGTATTATATTGGCTGTGGGTCTGTCATAGATGGCTTTTATTACATTAAGGTATGCTTTTATGCCAATTTTGCTGAGTATTTTAATCATAAATGGATGCTGGATTTTTTCAAATGCTTTTTCTATGTCTGTTGAGATGATCATGTGATTTTTGTTTTTAATTCTGTTTATGTGATGTGTCACACTTATTGACTTGCATATGTTAAACCATCCCTGCATCCCTGGTACGAAACCCACTTGATCATGGTGGATTATCTTTTTGATATGTTTTGAGATTCAGTTAGCTAGTATTTTGTTAAGGATTTTTGCATCTATGTTCATTAGAGATATTGGTCTGTAGTTGTCTTTTTTTGTTATGTCCTTTCCTGGTTTTGGTATTAGGGTGATACTGGCTTCATAGAATGATTTAGGGAGGATTCCTTCTTTCTCTATCTTGTGGAATAGTGTCAATAGGATCGGTACCAATTCTTCTTTGAATGTCTGGTAGAATTCAGCTGTGAATCCGTCTGGTTCTGGACTTTTTTTGGTTGGTAATTTTTAAATTACCATTTCAACTTCGCTGCTTGCTAATGGTCTGTTCAGGGTATCTAATTCTTCCTGATTTAAGCTAGGAGGGTTGTATCTCTCCAGGAATTTATCCATCTCCTCTAGGTTTTCTGGTTTATGCACATAAAGGTGTTCATAGTAGCCTTGAATTATCTTTTGTATTTCTGTGGTGTCAGTTGTAATATCTTCTGTTTCATTTCTAATTGTGCTTATTTGGATTTTCTCTCATCTTTTCTTGGTTAATCTTGCTAATGGTCTATCAATTTTATTTATCTTTTCAAAGAACCAACTTTTTGTTTCATTTATCTTTTGTATTTTTTTTTTGGTTTCACTTTCTTTTAGTTCTGCCCTGATCTTGGTTATTTCCTTTCTTCTGCTGGGCTTGGGTTTGGTTTGTTCTTGTTCCTCTAGTTCCTTGAGGTGTGACCTTAGATTGTCTATTGTGCTCTTTCAGACTTTTTGATGTAGGCATTTAGGGCTATGAACTTTCCTCTTAACACCACCTTTGCTGTATCCCAGAGGTTTTGATAGGTTGTGTCACTATTATCTTTCAGTTCAAAAAATTTTAAAATTTCCATCTTGATTTCATTGTTGACCCAATGATCATTCAGGAGCAGGTTATTTAATTTCCATGTATTTGCATGGTTTTGAAGGTTCCCTTTGAAGTTGATTTCCAGTTTTATTCCACTGTGGTCTGAGAGAGTACTTGATATGATTTCAATTTTCTTAAATTTATTTAGACTTGTTTTGTGGCCTATCATATAGTCTACCTTGGAGAATGTTCCATGCACTGATGAATACAATGTATATTCTGTGGTCAATGGGTACAATGTTCTGTAAATATCTGTTAAGTCCATTTGTTCCAGGGTATAGCTTAAATCCATTGTTCCTTTGTTGACTTTCTGTCTTGATGACCTGTCTAGTGCTGTCAGTGGAGTATTGAAGTCCTCCAGTATTATTGTGTTGCTTTCTATCTTATTTCTTAGGCCTAGTAGTAATTGTTTTATACATTTGGGAGGTCCAGTGTTAGGTGGATATATATTTAGGATTGTGACATTTTCCCCTTGGACAAGGCCTTTTATCATTATATAATGTTCCTCTTTGTCTTTTTTAACTGCTGTTGCTTTAAAGTTTCTTTTGAAACGTTAAAGAATATAAGAAGAGCTACTTGTGCTCACTTTTGGTATCCACTTGCATGGGATGTCTTTTTCCACCCTTTTACCTTAAATTTATGTGAGTCCTTATGTGTTAGGTGAGTTTCTTGAAGGCAGCAGATACTTGATTGATAAATTCTTATCCATTCTGCAATTCCGTATCTTTTAAGTGGAGCATTTAGGCCATTTATATTCAACGTTAGTATTGAGATGTGAGGTACTATTCCATTCATCACGCTATTTGTTGAAATACTTCTCCCGTGATCTAGACCTTCAGGTTCCCCAGTGAGGGTCTGTGTTTGGGGGCGGATGATCCCCCTTTCCCACATTCACAGTTTGGGCTCTCACAGTATTTGGGCTGTCTCCTGGGTCCTGCAGGAGCAATCTGCTACCTTCAGAGGGTCTGTGGATCCTCTTGGCTTTCCTGGTATATTCCTGCAGTAGTTCTTGGAGCAAAAGTTCATGATGCTAGTCTCTGCATGATGCTCTGTCCATCTGAGTGGGAGCTACAATTTAGTCCTGCCTCCTGTCTGCCATTTTTTTCTAGATCCTACAGTGGCGTTTAACTTTAAATTGGAGATCATTGAACAATGCCCCTCTGGAGTTAGAAGGGACATAAGAAACACCTAATTTACCCCTCAGGCTGTCATTTGGGTTGAGGCTCATCCTGCCTAAATCCAAACAGTCTGGACAGTGGCAGAGACAGGACTGGAATCTGCAGCCAACTGAGCCCTTGTCCAAGGCTCCTTATACTGCCCCACACTGTCCTCCTCAGCCCCTCACACTGCAGCTCTCCACACTGGCCATCTTTGAGGCCCATGTGCC
The DNA here is from genome assembly GCF_000001405.40 of Homo sapiens. Lineage (NCBI taxonomy): Eukaryota > Metazoa > Chordata > Mammalia > Primates > Hominidae > Homo > Homo sapiens. The sequence continues at coordinate 32,096,482 of NC_000022.11, forward strand.
TCTGATGACTTGACCCCTTGATGCAACATTCTGCAGAACGATTGTGAAGGTTCAGTTGTGCTTGTGAATATACTCTGTAAAGTCAGTCTAAAACACCAAGCACTGTGCACATTTCTTGTTGTCAAATGGGCTAATAAATGCAATAGGGTCCTGAAAGCATTAAAGTATCAACACCTGGGTCAGGTGTGCTCATTATCATGATTATCCATGGAGCAGATGCTCTGGACAGAGGATCAACAGGAGCCTTGCTTGTTTTTCTATGGGGCTAATGCAGGTCAACCTCCTTAGGGCAGGTGGGCCAAGTCCCTGGGATGTCAGTCAAGGGAAAGTTTCCCAGTGAGTGCAGGAGGGGTATAGGCTGCTACCTCATAGGTCTCATTTTCAAGATTGGAATGAACGAAGCAAAGCAAACATGGTAGGCCACTTTCAATTGACAAGATACCTGGCACCCAAAGGAGATCTGACTGTGCCAGAGGATCTTTACTCTGAACCATAGAAAGTAGCACTGTTACCTTGATTGATTTTCCCTTAGAAAGGCACTTACTGACTTTTCCAGTTATTTAGGTGGATCAAATGCAAAATGCTACAGAAAATGTTTTGTTGCCTCGTTAGGGATGAATCCCATGGCCCTGAGACTATGTTGGGGCTCACATTTTTGTGTATCCTGTAATTACTGCCCTGGGGCTTGTCCCAGTCCTGGATGAGCTCACAGTGATGTGAAACCATTCCAAACTCTGCTGTGGGGACTGTAAGATCAACCAGGAGCTCAGATAAGGGAGTGATGAGTGTGGCATGAGTGGCTGGGAAAGGCTCCTGGGGAAGGGAGAACCTGAGCTAAGTCCATAATGGTGGGTGGGATATGGAAAAGGGGGACAGTGGAAAGGCATTTCAGAGGGAGAAATGTGTGAGTGAAAACATTGCTTTGTGGAGGTCAATTTAAGTTGCAAGTAAGTGAGAAAAGGAATCACAGTCATCTTTCTAATTCAATCAAGAGCACAAATAAGAAGAGCTTGCAAGGACATCTCCAGTCTTTTCAGGACTTGAAGTGAAACTCAGCAGGAGGAGAGGTAGAAATACCTGGTAGTGTTTCTTCCTATCTAGACCATTCCTTTATAAAATCATCTTGTGTAGTGTTTTTATTAATAACTCCATTATTATGAAGAAGAAGACAAAAGGGAAGAAGGAGGAGAAGAAGAAAACAATAATAATAGTTTTTACTATTTATTAAGTGCCTGCTATTTGCAAGGTTTTACTCTCACTTAGTTAACTATCACTTAGATTAGTTTTACTATCACTAATTCTTTTTTTATCGGAATTTAAAACTTGTTTATCAAAGACACCATTAATCAAGTGAAAAGGGAGAAAATATTTGTTAAACATATATCTAACAAAGGATTTATATCCAGAATATGTAAGCAGCTCAATAATAAAACAACCAAATTAAGAAACAGCCAAAAGACTAACAAAGCACATTAAAAAAGTATTCAATGCCATCACTAGGCATCAGGGAAATGGAGATCAAAACCATACACACTAGAGTGACTAAAATTCAAAAGATTGATATCAAATGTTGGTGAGGGTGTGGGTCAAACAGAATTCTTATACATAGCTGCTAGCAATGCAAAACAGTAGAGGCAATTTGAAAATCAGTCAGGCAGTTTCTCATAAAGTTGGATGTCCATCTACCCTATAATCCAGCAGTATCACTCCTTGATATTTACACAAAAGAATGAAAAAATATGTTTGTAAAAACACATGAATATTCTTGCTCAAGTATACTGCTGTAGATCTTAGTTTGTATTGTACACATGATCATATATGGTCTTGTATTGAGGTCACTGGTGTGTATGTCATGTGACTCCCACAGAATATTCTCTCAGTGCATGTGTGTGTTTGTATCACTACTACTATCACTAATTCTTATTCCCACCTTGCAAGGTCAGTCCTATTCCCAGTTTACAGATGAAGAACTTGAGACTCAGAGAGGTTAAGAAATGTCTCCTATGTCACACAGAAATAATAAGAATTTGAATCCAGGACTATCAGGCTCTAAAATTCATACCTTGTTCCCATACTCTATTGCCTCTCAAAATGAGATTCTCTTATGGTGGTGAGTGGGCCTAGGCTACTATTGAAAGTCAAGTGTGTTTCACTAATTCATAGGCATGAATGACTTTCCTATAGGCAAAAAAAGCTTCAAGCATACATTTTTAAATTATTTTTTCTTGCTGTGGTTATATTTGCTGCTGGTAGTGGTGGTGGTGGTAGTGTGTATATGTATGTATGCATATGTATAATACATAGCAATATATACTCATGTAGAGGCCGGGTGCGGTGGCTCACGCCTGTAATCCCAGCACTTTGGGAGGCCGAGGCGGGCGGATCACGAGGTCAGGAGATGGAGACCATCCTGGCTAACATGGTGAAACCGTCTCTACTAAAAAAATACAAAAAATTAGCCGGGCGTGGTGGCGGGCGCCTGTAGTCCCAGCTACTCAGGAGGCTGAGGCAGGAGAATGGTGTGAATCCGGGTGGCAGAGCTTGCAGTGAGCGGAGATGCACCGCTGCACTCCAGCCTGGGTGACAGAGCAAGACTCTGTCTCAAAAAAAAAAAAAAAAAAAAAATATATATATATATATATATATATATACTCATGTAGAGCTATTTATTGACACCTTGTTGTGGGGGCTTTAATTTCAGGTTGTTTATCCTGGTGCTGATTGGCATCAGCATCGCCTGGGTGCCCATTGTGCAGTCAGCACAAAGTGGGCAACTCTTCGATTACATCCAGTCCATCACCAGTTACTTGGGACCACCCATTGCGGCTGTCTTCCTGCTTGCTATTTTCTGGAAGAGAGTCAATGAGCCAGTAGGTATCATCTGGGCATGTCCAGAAAAGTCATTCTGGCATAGAAGTTTCCATGTGGGTTTGCATATTCTCTGTGGGAGGGATTCTATTTCCCAGAGATCTTGAGCAGACACGGATGTGCTGCTGAGGGTTTGTAGGGAAAGCCTCCAGGGACCATGGGGCTCTCTGTTGGAGTGAGCTCCTCGGGAGTTGGTATGGGAGGGTCCACGTTCTGTCTCCTCTGTCCAAGATTAGATTTTCTTAAAAATTTTTTTTAATAGAGGTGAGGACTCACTATGTTGCCCAGGCTGGTCTTGAACTCCTGAGCTCAAGTGATCCTCCCACCTCAGCCTCCCAAAGTACTAGGATTACAAGCCAAGATTAGATTTTCTATCTAATCTTGGTGATTTTGACCTGACTGCATGGCACTCCCTAGGCATTCTGTAGCCTCTAGGTGAGTGGGAGAAAGTCCTAGCACAAGGTACCTCCAGTGCTCTACTGTGAACTCGGCTTTCCAGCCAGCACCTCTCAGGGCCCAGTGAAGACAAAGTCCTGGTGCACAAGCAGTTTATACATAAAACAAAGTGCGTAAGAAGTAAGGGATACAATACAGCACATGATATGAGCAGGAAGGGATTTAAGAAAGGCTTTATTAGCAGGGACTGAAACTGTCAGGGAAGGCTCCTTGGACCAGCTGGAGCTGGAAGAATTTGAAGTTGGAGAGGGAAGACATGGCATTCAAGTCAGAGAACAGTACTGCCCAGACCTTTCAGGCAGAAGTAGGACAGGAGTGAGGGTGAAGGACTTGTATGGAATCTCACCTGGCTCAAGGAGAGTTTGTGAATGTGAAAGATGGAAGATGTGGCTGGAAAGGTAGGTCAGGGTTTCATTAACAGTGATCCCTTTGGTGGAATCTTTAGGTTTTTCTAAATATGAGATCATATCATATGTAAATGAGGCCAATTTGACTTCTTCTTTTCCAATTTGGATGCCCTTTTTCTCTTGCCTAACTGCGCTGTCTAGGACTTCCAGTACTATGTTGAATAAAAGTGGTGAAAGGGTATCCTTTTCTTTTTCCAGATCTTACCGGAAAGGCTTTCAATTTTTCCCTGTTCAGTATGATGTCAGCTGTGAGTTTGTCATATATAGCTTATAATCTTTATTGTTTTTGAGGTTTGTTACTTCTGTACCTAATTTGTTGAGTTTTTATTATGAAAAAATTTGAATTTTTAAAAAATTATTTCGTGGCAAATTTATTGATTTTTTTTGAGACAGGAATCTCACTGTATTGCCAAGGCTAGTCTCAAACTCCTGAACTCAAGTGATTCTTCTGCCTCAGCCTCCAAAGTAGCGAGGACTACAGGCACACCCCATGCCCAGCTAAGAAATAATTTTTTTGAGTGAAATAGTGCATGGGGGATGAATAGGGAACATATTTTTTTCTTTTTCCTTATTTATTTCTTCATCTAGAAGTCACTTCCAGATGCCAGCATAGGGTGAGGCACTAGCAACACAAAGTGAATGAAACCTGTTTCCTTTCCTGGGCAATCCCCCGGTTCAGATTGGGAGACAGAGAACTATTGTGATTCCATGGCAGTGTGGTTGGTGCTTGCCTGGATCTGTGTCCACAGTGCTGTGGCCACAGCAAGAAAGGGTGCACCCACCCTGTGTAGCTTGTCCTATTTAAGCTAGAATGAGGTTACCAGGAAGAGAAGAGCCTGTATTCTCCCAGATAGAATGAGCTGTACAAAGACCTGGAGACAAAAACACATGCCATGCCATGTGTGGGGGATAGCTGATAATTTGGAATAGAAAGTGCAGGGATACCAATGGCTAGCAAAGAGGCTGACCAGCACCTGATAAAACTGTGAAAGCTCTTTTGGGCCACCCTTCTAAGAGCACATTCTATTTTGCCACTGGCCTGCCAAACTCAAACCTAGTCCTTTAGGTGAGGACTTACCTAAGGGAAAGATAGAAAGGAAAAAAGGAAGGAGGGAAGGAAGGAAGGAGTAAAAAAAACCCTGAAAAATCATCCCCTCATGTTTCTGGTCTCTTAAAGTCTTCCATATTCTAATATGCAGACCCAAAATTTAATGTAAAAACACAGTATAATTTTATGTTCTCAAACTAAAAATAGTTCATAAAATAAACTACAAAGAGGGCTAAAAAAGTAAGTGTTATTTATATTTTGATGGAAAAGTTTCTTTCTCCTTCATCTTCCAAAGACCCAATTTCTTTTCCCATGTCTTTGTGAAATACAAATTACCTCACAAGTAATTACTTTTCATCTGAATATGCCTAAATCTGGAGATTGGTGTTGACAGTAGCTGCAGGTGGAGAGGCTCAAATTATTTTTCAAGTTAAAGGGAATTTTTGGAATCAAGTCTGTAGGTTGACATTCTATTCCAGTTATTAGACACTTTACCCCATTATATTATGGCTCCTTGTTTAATGATCGAGGTGAAATCATGTTGCTGAAACATGATAGACAGACACACTGAGTGTGTCTGTCTGAGTGCATAGCACTCCTAGCCATATTCTGAACTTCAGTGTTCTGGGTTCAGACAGCCTGGAGCTACCACTTCTCCTACCTCTGTTCCTTTGCCTCTGCCTATGCCTCTCCAAAGAATGTTAGAAAGGCCATCTGTTTTGTGTGTTCAGCATGAGTTAACCCAGGGTTTTCTTTCACAGGGAGCCTTTTGGGGACTGATCCTAGGACTTCTGATTGGGATTTCACGTATGATTACTGAGTTTGCTTATGGAACCGGGAGCTGCATGGAGCCCAGCAACTGTCCCACGATTATCTGTGGGGTGCACTACTTGTACTTTGCCATTATCCTCTTCGCCATTTCTTTCATCACCATCGTGGTCATCTCCCTCCTCACCAAACCCATTCCGGATGTGCATGTGAGTATCCATTTAGGGGATCTGTCCTTGTTTCATGTTCACACTGCAATGTTCTTTAATTTTTTTTAAATTTTTCATTATTATGGGTACATAATAGTTGTATATAATTATGGGGTACATGTAATGTTTTGATACAGGCATACAATATAAAATAATCAAATCAGGGTAATTGGGGTGTCCATTGCCTCAAGCATTTATCATTTCTTTGTGTTAGGAACATTCCAATTCCACTCTTAGTTATTTTAAAATACAGATTATGGTGGCTCATGCCTGTAATCCCAGCACTTTGGGAGGCCAAGGTGGGAGGATCACCTGAGTCCAGGAGTTTGGGACCACCCTGACAACATAGTGAGACTCTGTCTTTAAATTATATGTATATAATAAATTACGTATAGCTGCCCTATTGTGCTACCAACTACTAGATTTTAATTCATTCTAATTGTATTTTTGTACCCATTAACCATCTCCATTCTGTCCTCCATTCCCTGCTACCCTTCCTGGCCTCGGTAACCATCAATCTACTCTCTATCTCCATGAGTTTGGTTTTTAAAACTTTTAGCTCCTATATATGGTGAGAACATGAGAAATTTGTCTTTTTATGCCTGGCTTATTTTACTTAACATAATGGCCTCCAGTTCCATCCATGTTGTTGCAAATACAGGATCTCATTCTTTTTATGGTGGAATAATACTCTACTGTATATTTGTACAATATTTTCTTTATCCATTCATTTGTCAGTGGACACTTAGATTGATTCCATATCTTGGCTACTGTGAATAGTGCTGCAGTAAATATAGGAATACAGGTATCTCTTTGATATACTGGTTTACTTTCTTTTGAATATATATCCAGTAGTAGAATTGCTGGATCATATGGTGGCTCTATTTTTAGTTCTTTGAGGAACTTCCATAGTGTTCTTCATTGTGGCTGTGATAATTTACATTCTCACCAACAGTGTTTGAGGATTCCCCTTTCTCCCCATCCTCACCAGCATTCATTATTGCCTTTTTGATAAAAGCCATTTTAAATGGGGTGAGATGATATCTCATTATAGTTTGATTTGCATTTCTCTGATGATTAGTGATGTTGACATGCCACAACATTCTTGGTCAGCCTCAGCAAAATTATACATCTTATATTCACATTCACATGACTTGCCATTGGTTTCACGTGGAAGGATACATGCCAGGAAACATGGTGTGCCAACAGGCTGATATCAAGCCCATGTCTTTAGTCAGAGTCCTCACAGTTGTCCACCCTTTATTCCAGGGCTTATTCTCTGAAACCTGCTCCCCAAGTGACAGCTCAGGTGCGTAAGATCACATGGGTGGTACAGGGCTACCTGGCTTAGAAGCCTATGTTCCAAATAGAAACTGGTATTTCTTTTGACAGTCCCATGGTCAAAGCTTTCAAAGGTCCCAACAAAGCACATACCTAGTTACAAAAATCAGTCTACTCAGGGAAACCCAAAATATAGTTTGCCTCTTGATTTTTTTTTCCAAATTAGTCCACCAAAAATTGACCATAGGATGTAAAACATTTCTAACAATATCAAAGTCTAATTGATTCAAGACTTCAAAAGTTGCAATTACTCTTCTTTAACTCTAGATGCCCCCATTGGTTTAGAATTCATTCATGGCTCTCCCAATTTAGATAAAGATGACCAATTATGAGCCATTTTTATTAGTAGTCTGGTAACCCAACACAGATTTCCAGGTTTCCAAGGGAACAGAGCCAGAAAGTTAACCCAAGGTCATATTTATTCCTAGAAAACAGAAGGATTTTGTTAATCCTTTACTTTACTCATGCATGCACAGACTATGGAATCCCTAAGAGACCTTCAACTTCATTGCCAAATTTTTAAGAGCTGTGACAAACCTAACGTCAAACAAAGACTGCTTTTATGGCAGCAGAACTGAATCACATCTATTTGCTGGACCTGTCACAGGCTTTCTTTGTGTTGTATCAACTGCTTCCTCATGTCTCAAGTCTTTGAAAGTATTACAACCCAAACACATTTCTAGTTGATGCCCTAGACCGAGTTCATGCTCTAGATCAAGTATTTGGTTCATGCTCTTGACTATGTCAATAGAAACTGTGCCTTCAGCTCTACCATATTCTATTATGGCTCATGATTCTAGCTTCTTATCCACATAATGTGACATAGTGCAAAAATCTGAACTTACACTCCTAACCTGGACAAATGGTTGTCTTGTTGCTTCCTACTGCCAGTGCTAAAAGGAACAAATTATTTATCACACACACACGTAAAAGAGTTCATTCAACAAACATTTCCATATGAGGCAATCTTTTAGCTCTGAATATGCATATATCATAGAGGCTAGTATATACATGTATATTACTTTTATCTAAGTTACCAATGTTTTTAGAGATAATGTTATGGATGAGAATCGTTGTGTATGTTCTTCCTGGTACTGAGATGCCACATTCCCTTCCCTTCCTTGATGCATATCTCTTTGCCCCCCCAACTTCTTGTCCCAAGATGCTATTTGGATCTTTCTGTTGACCTGTTCTGCCTTCTCTGCAGCTCTACCGTCTGTGTTGGAGCCTGCGCAACAGCAAAGAGGAGCGTATTGACCTGGATGCGGAAGAGGAGAACATCCAAGAAGGCCCTAAGGAGACCATTGAAATAGGTGACTTATGACCCAGAGCAGATCCTAAACCATAAAAGTTACTCCTACAACAACAAGACTTTACTGAAGTTCTTCCCTAAATAATTTTATCAGAGCTCAGATGTCTCCCCTCCAGGGCAGTGAGGAGTAGGGTGGGGATGAGATGGATAAGTGGGTTTGGGGAAGTTAACTCTGAGTTCAAGGGAAAGAAAGGGTACAGAATCATTCAAGCTCCCTCACCCCTCATATTTAAAAAATTTTTGTGAGTACGTAGTAGGTGTATACATTTATGAGGTACGTGAGATGTTCTGATGCAGGCATGCAATCATGCCTGCAAGCAAGCACATCATGGAGAATGGGGTGTCCACCCCCTCAAGCATTTATCCTTTGAGTTGCAAACAATCCAGTTGCACTCTTAATTTTTTTTTTTTTTTTTTTTTGAGACCGAGTTTCACTCTTGTTGCCTAGGCTGGAGTGCAATGGCGCAATCTCGGCTCACTGCAACCTCCACCTCCTGGGTTCAAGCGATTCTCCTGCCTCAGCCTCCTGAGTAGCTGGGAATACAGGCATGCACCACCACGCCCGGCTAATTTTGTATGTTTTTAGTAGAGATGGGGTTTCTCCATGTTGGTTAGCCTGGTCTCAAACTCCTGACCTTAGGTGATCTGCCCGCCTTGGCCTCCCAAAGTATTGGGATTACAGGCATAAGCCACCACACCCGGCCTTGCACTCTTAATTTTAAAATGTACAATTAAGTTTTCATTGACTATAGCCACCCTGTTGTGCTATCAAATAGTAGGTTAGTCATTCTTTCTATTTTTTTGTTGTACCCATTAACCATCCCTACCCCATCCCCAGACCCCCACTACCCTTCCCAGCCTCTGGTAACCATCTTTCTACTTTCTATGTCCATGAGTTCAATTGTTTTGATTTTTAGATCTCACAAATAAGTGAGAACATGAGATGTTTGTCTTACTGTGACTGGCCTATTTCACTTAACATAATGATCTCCAGTTCCATCCATGTTGTTGCAAATGACAGGGTCTCATTCTTTCTTTATGGCTGAATAGTACTCCATTGTGTATATGTACCCATTTTCTTTATCCATTCATCTGTTGATGGACACTTAGGTTGCTTCCAAATCTTAGCCATTGTAAACAGTGCAGCAACAAACATAGGAGTGCAGATATCTCTTCAATATACTAATTTCCTTTCTTTTGGGCATATACCCAGCAGTGGGATTACTGAATTATATGGTAGCTGTCTTTTTAGTTTTTTGAGGAACCTCCAAACTGTTCTCCATACTGGTCATACTAACTTTCATTCCCACCAACAGTGTACATCCTCACCAGCATTTGTTATTGCCTGTCTTTTGGATATAAGCCGTTTTAACTGTGATGAGATGATATATCATTGTAGTTTTGATTTGCATTTCTATGATTGATGATGTTGAGCACATTTTTATGTGCCTATTAGCCATTTATATATCATATTTTGAGAAACGTCTATTAAAATCTTTAGACCATTTTTGATTGGATTCTTACCCCTCATATTTGACAGCACTCAGTGAGTAAGTGTGGGTGAGGAATTTGCCACCCTGCCTTGATTTGAGGAATGGCCAGGGATAAGAGAAGAGTTGGAGCTCTTCTGACATAGCCTGTGAACTGAGGGCAGATGGAACCAAAGCTATGGCCAGTTCTAGTGACATCAAGATGAGGGGATAGAAGCCCTTGGGATCTTATGTCATACTGGCTTACAATATCAAATGCAGAAAATCAAATTTCTCTCGAAGACCAATGAAATAACGCTTAGTCAGTGCCCAGAGACTTATCCTGTAAGTTAATACTTTCTTCTACTTCAGTATTGCAACTTTTCCTCTCTATGTGGGAAACGTGCACACGTGGAGGATGGTTGTGGAGGTGTGTGGTGTGCAGAGCTATGGGGGCTCAAGGTCATATGTGCTTTACCTGGTGCTGGGCTGGAGGCCTCATATCACTCCATCTGAAGGAGAGCACAGGTGTAGCTCAGAACAGATTCTCAATCTGGCCATCAGGAACATCATAGAATCCTACCTGGGGAAAGAGCCCTAGAGATCATTTGGTCTTATCATCTCATTTTATAGACATGTAAATTGAGGCTTAGGGAGGGAGAGGCTGTGCCTAAGGTCTCAGCTTTGTTACAATCTGCTCTTGATCTTCGAGTACCTTTCAATTCTAAAACTTGTGACTGCAAATACTGGAGAGAGCCTGGAGCCACAGCAGCTGGCCATGGTGCTGAAAACAGCCCCTTCCTGCCTCCCTGGGGCAGGCAGGCAGGAACATGCCCTCTACTTCTCCTACCTCCAAAAATGTCTCCACACTGTGTAAGAATATCATAGATTTTAAAGGGACATGGATTAGGAGTATTTTGAGTGTCAAAAGATCTTATTGTGGAAGAAGAGATTATTTTTATGCCAGAAGGCAGACTTAACACTGGTGGGTGAAAAGAATTCATCCGATTTTAACTCAGAGTAAGGAGGCAAGATAGTGCAGAGATAGACTGTGAGATTTGGAATCAGGAAGAACTGGGATTTAATCATCATCAATTCTCTTCCTAATACTCTGGGAAAGTGATTCCATTGTTCTAAAGCTCAGATTCATCACATAAAAGTATTCTAAATGAAAACCCATGCCTCTTATGCTCTGCTGTAAGAATTGTCTATATTTACCACCATCATGATTGCTTTGAAGGAAGAGTTTCTAATTGAGTTGGTCTGGACAGGGATGAGCAGTATGTGTACATCTGTCAAGGATTCTGTAGAGGGAACTTCCGTACTGGCTAGAGATTTGACTTGGTGACCTCTGAGGTTCATGGCAGCACTCAAATTCTGTTGTGTCTTCATGAACTTAGGGTGAAATCAGACTGAACATCCTACCCTATTAAAGCACAATAAACTAAGCTATCTTTAGGGATTTTACAGACCATGAATGTCACATTCACCATTCTCTGAGAAACAGCAACACAAGGAAGCTTTGCAGGTGCATCACTGTCCCAGTATCATCATCCTCACCACCACCACCACCACCACCATCATCGATAATGATATGATCATAACATGTTTTAATTATAAACACTTTAGTGATTCATTTCAGCAATGCATCATCCTCTTAAGGCAGATAACGCAAGTACAATTCTTCCAATTTTCCTTCCTTTCCAGAACAGGAAAATGTGACACAGAGAATTTCCTAAGGCCATTCAATTTTTTTTTTTTTTTTGAGACAGAGTCTCACTCTGTCACCCAGGTTGGAGTGCAGTGGCACAATATCGGCTCACTGCAAGCTTCACCTCCCGGGTTCACGCCATTCTCCTGCCTCAGCCTCCCGAGTAGCTGGGACTACATGCCACCATGCCCTGCTAATTTTTTTGTATTTTTAGTAGAGACGGAGCTTCACCATGTTAGCCAGGATAGTCTCGATCTCCTGACCTCGTGATCCACCCATGTTGGCCTCCCAAAGTGTTGGGATTACAGGCATGAGCCACCACACCAGCTGGCCATTCAACTTTTTATTGGCCCAGAAAGTCATGTATTTCTCACTTGAGGTCATCAGTGATCCTAGCTTATTACTCCTTCTTTCCCACTCTGCTATTTTGGTGGAGTGAGTCAAAGGGGAGAGGTGTGAGTGTGTGAGACAAAAGAGAGAATAGAAAGAGACCTACACTTTTTGACATCTACTGTGTCAAGGGACATGGATTAGGAGTATTTTGAGTGTCAAAAGGTCTCATTGTGGTAGAGGCTCTACCACAATAAGAGAGGCTCTACCCCAATAAGAGCTAGAGGCTCTCTCATTAAATCATTAAATTCTTCATTAGTACAATGAAGAAGGTATTATTTATCCAATTCTTCTGATACATGAAGATAAGGGAGGTGAATTAACAAGACCATAAAGCCAGGTTTTGGTCCCAATTCTGACTCGTGTGAACTTGGTCACTGAGATTCTTTCCAGTTCTAAAATTCTGTGATGTTTTAAAGCTAAAATTCTGTGATGCTGGCCATGGTGACCTACATCTGTAATCCCAACATTTTGGGAGGCCAAGGTGGGAGTATTGCTTGAGTCCAGGAGTTCAAGACAAGCCTGGGCAACATACTCAGATACTCTACAAAAAAAAATTTAACTGGACATGGTGGCATGCACCTTTAGTCCCAGCTTAGCTACTAAGGAGACCGAGGTGGGGGGGATCATTTGAGCCCAGGAGTTCACGGCTGCAGTGAGCTATGATTACCCCACTGCACTCCAGCCTGGGCAACAGAGCAAGACTCTGTCTCTTAAAAAATAAAGATAAAATTCAGTGACTTGTAAAAATGGGAAAGTGCTTTGCAGGGTCTGTGACTGTGGTGCTGAAAACACAGTGGGCTTGATCTCTTATCTAGTGAGTGCCAGAGTGGGCATTTGAAACCAGGTTTGTCTACCTCCAGGGCCACGCCTGGGCTCAGAGGAGGGAATCAGTTCCCTTGGTGGGTATTCAATTTGAGCATCAGGGCCAGGTGTGGACAGTTTGATTAAGCAGTGCTGATATGTGACATTAGATCCTAAGCCTGGGAAGTATTGCTCATTGCTGCGCCGCAACAGGAGCTGTTCAGACCAGTTCTTACCACCTGGCTGGGTCTGTTGTGAAGCCTTAGAATGGACAGATGTAACCAACGCACTCCTGAATCATGCCAGCCAGACTGCTTTCTGGTGATGTAGTGAACAGATATGAGATTTTGTGTTTCAGAGTTGAGTTTTCCTTCCTATGGCACAATTCCCCAGCCTATTATTAATGTGTCTTTATTATAAACTATTATTTGATCTGACTGTTCCAAATCAAAATGAATTTGCATTGGGCCTGATAGAGATAAAACTTAGACTAGCTGATCCTAAGGATGCAGATAGTAAGACCATTTTGTCATTAAGTTTGTTGGAACATTTTCTACCGTTTTCATTCCTTAAAACAAGAAAATATGGGGGAAATTTGGGGAAATTTCTCATTTTTGGGAAATTTCTGCAGAATAGCAGATGCTTCATGGTGTGGCTTCTCCCCTGAAAACTTTTCTAGTCCATCCTGCTTCTGTGTCCAATAATTCTTCTATGCCTTTGCCCAGAAACACAAGTTCCTGAGAAGAAAAAAGGAATCTTCAGGAGAGCCTATGACCTATTTTGTGGGCTAGAGCAGCACGGTGCACCCAAGATGACTGAGGAAGAGGAGAAAGCCATGAAGATGAAGATGACGGACACCTCTGAGAAGCCTTTGTGGAGGACAGTGTTGAACGTCAATGGCATCATCCTGGTGACCGTGGCTGTCTTTTGCCATGCATATTTTGCCTGAGTCCTACCTTTTGCTGTAGATTTACCATGGCTGGACTCTTACTCACCTTCCTTTAGTCTCGTCCTGTGGTGTTGAAGGGAAATCAGCCAGTTGTAAATTTTGCCCAGGTGGATAAATGTGTACATGTGTAATTATAGGCTAGCTGGAAGAAAACCATTAGTTTGCTGTTAATTTATGCATTTGAAGCCAGTGTGATACAGCCATCTGTACCTACTGGAGCTGCAGAAGGGAAGTCCACTCAGTCACATCCAGAAAAAGGCAGACTAAGAATCAGAAGCCATGTGATTGATGTCTGACGTGAGTCTGTCTCAGGTAGATTCCGGGTGTCAGTGTGGTTTATAATCCTTGAATATTGTTTTAGAAACTTTGGTCTCCCTGGTTCCTGCCACTTTTCCTGTCCGTCCTCCTCCCCATTTTTTTTTTAAAAGAAAGCTGTTTTCCCCTCATCATATCCCTCTTGAGTTTTGCCTGGACTTTCCCTCTCAAGTGTGTCAATCAGGTAAACTGAGGAATGCATGGAAGCTGAGGATGGAGCTTGATGGGCTCCCTGTCCTGGGTGTTTGCTCTCTGAAGTGGAGGCCTGAGGAAGGTAGTACTTCCACAAAAGGGAGGGACCCGGGCCCCAGCCTCAAGCTAGTGGGGGAGGCAGATAGCCTGAATCCAGGGGATTTTCTGGGCTTCTTAAAATGTCCATTGTGAGTTCCCCGTGTTTGGGATTCCACTCATTTTGGCATTCACAGTGCCTGGAATGTCTTAGATTTTCAGCAATGCGTGTTGAATAAATGAATGACATAGGCATTTATTTTTAAATCTTTGCTTGCTTTTTACATGAGCCTGGCCCTTAGTTAACCTTTTCTTGTGGCTACACAAAGTATGCTCACTGGTTACTAATGACTTGGGATGCATTTGTCAAACTGATTATATTAGTTTTCTAGGGATGCCATAACAAAGTAGCACAGACCAGATGGCTCAAGCAGCAGACATTTATTTTCTCACAGTTCTAGAGGCTAGAAGTTGGAGGCCAAGATGTCAGCAGGGTTGGTTTCTTCTGAGGCCTCTCTCCTTGGTTGCAGATGGTCATATCTCACTCTGTCTTCCGTGGCCTTCCTTTTGTCTGTGTCCTAAATCTACTCTTCTGATAAGGACATCAGTCATATTGGAATAGGACCCACCCTAATGTCTTCATTTTAATCACCTCTTTAAAGCCCCTACCTCCAAATACAGTCACACTGTGAGAAACTGAGGGTTAGGAAGTCAGCAAGTGAGTCTTGAAGAGATACTAAACAAACCCACAACACAGATAAAGTATGCATTTTGGAGATTTCCAAGCCAGAGTCTCCCGTGAAAAAGGTAAACGGAAGCAGTTATTGTGCAGCAAAAGGAAAAAGAATTACAAACTGAACGTATGTAGGTGAGGCAAGGCAGGGTAGGGCAGGGCCTTTGGGTAGGCTGATCAGAGGGTTTTTCAACAATAAATCAATGGGAATGCATTTGTTGCTCCCAGGACCCTGGCACCTTGACTCTGGTACTATAGCATGTCAGCAAATACAAGCAAAGCCCAACACTCTGATTTGCATTTATGCCAATCTAAACTATCCGGTGTTTAGTTTGATTTTTTGAGTGCAGGTTCATTCAAGGACCAGGTTCCCTTGTGCTCAGGGTGAAGTAGAACCAGAAAACATCGTTATCCATTCCCAGAAGTTTTGGAAGAGCCTTGGTAGAAAAGCAGAAGCTGCTTTGACCGTGAAAATATTTGACTCCTATCAGTTTTTGGTCAGGAGAAGATATCCACCTAGACCAACCTGAGGAGAAGGCTCAGAGTACAGATATACCCCGAGCAACGTGATCAATGTCCTTGAACCTTCATTTTTCATCTGAAAACAGAGACATAAATGCCTGGCTCACAGATTTAAATGTTATACATTGACAGCATTTATCAGTATAACATTTATTTAAATAAGTAGGTGCTCAATAGGTGTTGGTCTTCTAACTTGTCTACATCCCATCCCCATTCCAGGGTCTTCAGAATTGAAGGAGAGATGTTGTATCACTGTTAGAAGGCTGCTTTGGGACATTCTGCAGCAGGGAGGAGGGACTGTCAACCCCTACACCATGACCACCAAGTTCCTCACCTTGGCTGAGTCCCTAAAACTCTCTGAACCTCAGGTTCCTCCAAGCATAATGCAGACTTCACAGAGCTGTTGTAAAGATTAGGTGAGGTCAATTGATACTGCTTAAAAGGCCCGGTCCGTAGAAAATGCCCAATAAACATTACTGCTTTCCCCCTCACCCTACTGCCTGAAAAAATATTACACCTGTGAGACTGACTTTGAGAACCAGTGTGGGTGGGGAGTTGTGCATATAAACTATTTAATGAGTACCAAACACAAAAGTCAAGCTTGTAAAATATCAGGCCTTGCCCCAGAAAGACAAATACCACATGATCTCACTGATATGTAGAATCTTAAAAAGTCAAACTCAGAAGCAGAGAGTAGAATGATGGTTATCAAGGGCTGGGGGAGGGAGGGACTGGGGAGATGTTGGTCAAATGATACAAAGGTTTAGTTAGGTGGAATAAGTTCAGAAAATCAATTGTACAATGTATCAATTATAGTTAATAGCAATATAACATATACTTGAAAATTGCTGAGAGTAGTGTGAGTGTTCTACCACAAAAAAATATGTGCAGTAATAGATGTTAATTACCTTAATTTAGTCATTTCACAATATGTACATATATAAAAATATGTTGTATGCCATGA
The DNA here is from genome assembly GCF_000001405.40 of Homo sapiens. Classification (NCBI taxonomy): domain Eukaryota; kingdom Metazoa; phylum Chordata; class Mammalia; order Primates; family Hominidae; genus Homo; species Homo sapiens. Next base: position 32,112,976 of record NC_000022.11, read on the forward strand.
GTATATATAATTATTATTTGTGAATTTAAAAAATAAAAATAATTTCCAAAAAAAGTGACAGGCACTGGACACGTAGAGGAGGGGCCAGAATTAAGCAGATGGGCCCTAAAAGTCAATGGGGTCAGAGTTTTCTTTCCCTGGGTGCTGTAATGTACCTCAGCCATACCTACACACCTTTGATTTCAGAAAAGGCTTTCGGTCCTAACACAGCTCTACAAATCTCAAAGGAGGAACTGGGGAAAAGGTTTCTCCATTCTTCCAGTGTTGGTGAGGAAATGAAGCCCCTTTAGAAGTTAACTCTAAATAGTGGTTTTCAAAATGTGATCTTCAGACCAGCAGCCGCAAAATCATCTGGGAACTTGTTAGAAACGCACGTTCTCAGGCCCTATTCCAGACCTACAAAATCAGAAATGTCAGGGGAGGGGGTGCATCCCAAAAATCTGTGTTTCAACAAGCCCTCCAGGGGTTCTGATGCAAGCTATAGCTGGAGAATCACTACTCTAAGCAGCCCTTGGTCTGGTTCTGAACTGCATGTGCGTGAGCTGCCAGCACTCTTGTGTGAAGAAGGTCCCTTTATCAGATGGGTTTTTGCTACCAGTTTTCCAAGCATGGGATACATGGTATTAAATTGCCTGTTCTTTCACTGAGTGGCTCTCAGGACTTCAAAAGCTGGCTGGGTTAAGGATGCAACATGGGGCTCTGGGGCTGAATTGTACTTACCTGAGTCCCTTGGAGCCAGTCACACAACACCGGCCCCACTGACCTCATCCACACCTCCCTAATCCCATCCCCACCAAACTACCAAGACAATGCCACCTCACTGAAACAACTTCATCCATCAAATTACAATTTGGAGGTTAGGTGAGATTTTCTTTGGACAGGATAGGAAGGATGTTAAGAAACCCCTTTCATCCAGGCAAGCTCACTTATGCTTTTCTCTCGAGGTTCACTTTTGTGAAGAAGGACAAGAAAACACAAGCTGCAGCACCTCTTTTAGAAGATGGTGACTTCAGCACTAGGTAAGAGTGCGTTCCAGTGAGTTCCAAAGAAGGAATGTCACTGAGGGAACAGCAATGCCGGGCACAGCTACACACAAGCAAAGTAGTGCTCTCAGGTAGGTCAAAGGCCCCAGGACCAACTTCACTCTGTAGGGACAGAGGCCAGGCTTTGCATTTTGAAAGATTCCTTTTGAAATAGGCATCTATATTTAAAGAAGTTTTTTCTGCCTGATAAGGCATGATTTTTCAGTTCTATAAATTGAGGACAGATAGGCAGTCATTCAACCCCATAGAGAATACCATCTTCTTTTTTTTTTTTTTTTTTTTTTGAGACTAAGTCTTGCTCTGTTGCCCAGGCTGGAGTACAGTGACCTGATCTCCGCTCACTGCAACCTCCGCCTCCCGGGTTCAAGCGATTCTTCTGCCTCAGCCTCCCAAGTAGCTGGGATTACAGGCATGTGCCACCACGCCTGGCTAATTTTTCATATTTTTAGTAGAGACGGAGTTTCACCGTGTTAGCCAGGATGGTCTCAATCTCCTGAAGTCATGATCCACCCGCCTCAGCCTCCCAAAGTGCTGGGATTACAGGAGTGAGCCACTGCGCCCGGCCTAGAATACCATCTTCAATTTGGGGAAATGAATAGTGCCCCTGAAATTATTGTAGCATAATTTATCATTTGCTCACCCTAAGTAGCTCAGTCTATTCTAACGGGGCTTTGTACAGGCAGAGTTACTCACCTCATGTTTACTAGTGGCTCTGCAGTTGAAATAATCTCTAAACTTACCTATATTTTAAAAATTGTTCAAGTTGCTAGATCCAATTATCAACTATCCTGGCCTCCTGCTTCCTGACCCATATCTTGTGCCAACTAAGCTCACCATAGATATATTTAGTATTTGTCCAGAATCTCTGGAGAACAGGGAATCAGGATGTTATGGGGTTTTAATGTTTTTATTTTTATCAAAGGAATACATTTTAATTTGTGGGACTATAATGCAGGTTAATATAGCATCTGTATGGCATCTTTTGCATATGTAGCTCCCATCCCGTTTTCAAAGTGTCCTCATCACAACGACAGGAGGTAGGTAGATGCTACAAGCACCAAGGTCCTCATTTTTCAAAAAAACAAAATACACAGTTGAGACTAAATAATTTGCCAAAATATACACAGCAAATCACTGGCAAAACCAGAAACCGAATCCAGGACAGTCTAGACATTTTCCACTGTCCACCCATCCAGTGGCTTTTCTTCCTTTCCCTTTAGCCTCTCAAAACTCAAAACATAACACAAGCTTCATGTCAGATCCAGTCCTCTAGGGAACGCCAGCCAAGTGAAATTCTCCACTTTTCCCTCTCCTCTGCCTCGCTTCAGGAGACTGAGAAGGCACTACAAATAGTGCTCTGTGGATTTCCTTCCTTCCATGAGAACAAGCCATCCCTTTACCTTTTGAACCATGTTTATACACAGGAACCACTCTCAGCTCCTTTCTAAGCTACCCTGAAACCAGTCAATACTAACATTATGATTTTTTCAGTGGGATTATATGACAACATAATTGGGATTTCACAGGTGTAATTAAAAGAATTAATTAAATTTAAATAAAAAGAATTTCCTCTTAAGAAAATGGTTCAACAAAAAATACACATCTGTCAGCTAGAAGTGTTAGGTGCTACCACTTGGAACCGAGATCACCTACCCTAACCTTTGTCAAACTGATTAGATCCTGTTCTGTGTTTTCTTAAGATTCTTTATTTGTCTAGTTGGTATCAATTTATCACAAGGCCAATGAACTATATGTTTATTATTTTCTGTATTCTTGATGCTCTGGTATTTGGGGGATCTTGCAGACTCAGGGAAAGACTGCTCTTCCCAGGGAGGTCAAAGCAGCTTCTGCTTTTCTACCTTACAGATAGCAAGGTCTGCTTTTCTATCTTACAGGTAGTAAAGAGCTTGCCTGGGAGCATGTCTTTCATATACAAACCAACCAATCCCAAGTCTATCACCCCAAATCCAACTTCCACACACTAAGCCAGTATTTCCTCTGCACTGAATAATCCTAGGGCCAGGCACCAGGCAACTAGAGACCAATTCAATAGCCCAAAGCCCATTGGAATTGTTCAAACTAGTCGATCCTAAACCATTTACTCTGCCCTGTTCTGCCTTTCCCAAGGAAACTCCAATTAAGGTGCTGGCCCATTCCTTTACTCCTTTCTGCCTCCTAATGACACCAGTGCTTTCCCTATGTCCCTGTGTGACATATGACTATCCCCTCTCTGGGATCTGAGAGTATAATAAACTTCTTCCTTTCAGACCTTGTTCTCTCCTCCTGGGGCCATACCAACTTGACCATATCTTACCCAACATCTACATGCTTAGAACAAATCCCTTCCACTTCCTATAGTTAGCTCAAAGGGCTGCAGGACACCATCAGGCTGTTGATCAGGAATTGCACCATCATTTCCTTAAAAGTCCATCCATCTCTTTCTCAACCTTTCTTCTGGCCCCTTTACCTTCTCTTATTCTCTCTTTGTGCCCATTCATCTCCCCTCATTCCTTATTTCCTGGTCCAGTTATTTTATGGACCTCAGTGAACATACATCACCAGTCTCCATCTTCACTTTTCATCCCTTTCCTCCCCTATGCCCCAGAGCCCTCTGAAATTATTCAAACTAGCCAATCCTGCTTACCTTGCTTTATGCATTTCTTCCCACAAAACCATAATAAATGCTCTTGCCCATGTTTTTCTCCCATTCCCCTGCCTCCTGAGCAACCCTGGGGCTTCCCCATGTAGATTTTTGTGGTGTGGCATGCCCCTTTGCCTTGGGAACTGTTAAGTTACAAACTGTCTTTTCAATGGCAGTTGTCTTCTGATCTGTTGGCCTCACCATACCTCAATAACGTAAAAACTGCATTAAAAAAAGAAGTGGAGTTCTCTATGCTTCTGAAGTTAAGTTGATATCAATTTAAAAGAGATTGTGGTAACTTTAGGATGTTAAATCTAATCCCCTTGGTCATCACAAAGGATATATCTAAAAATATACATAAAATGAAATGAGAAAATAAAAAGTTTACTATGAAAAATCAACTAAACACAAAAGAAGGCAGTAATGGAGGAAATGAGACCAAAAAGGTATAAAATACAGAAAACAAATAGCAAAATGGCAGAAATAAGTTCTTTCTTATCAGTAATTTGTTTGAATGTAAATGAATTACATCAAAAGGCAGAGATCATCAGAATGGGTAATAAAAACATGATTCAACTGTGTTATTCATGAAGCATTCACTTTAGATCCAAAGACACAAATAGATCGAAAGTGCAGGGATGGAAAAAGAGACTCCATGATAACCAAAAGACAGTTGGGCAATATGAGAAAAAATCAGAAAACAAGACCTGAAATAAAAACTGTTGAAAGAGGGCTGGGTGTGGTGGCTCATGCCTGTAATCCCAGCACTTTGGGAGCCCAAGGCGGGTGGATCATTTGAGGTCAGGAGCACATGTCCAGCATGGCCAACATGGTGAAACCCCATCTCTGCTAAAAATACAAAAATTAGGTGAGCATGGTGGTGGGCACCTGTAGTCCCAGCTACTGGGGAGGCTGAGGCAGGAGAATCACTTGAACCTGGGAGGTGGAGGCTGTAGTCAGCTGAGATCCACTCCAGCCTGAGTGACAAAGTGAGACTCCATCTCAAAAAAAACAAAACAAAACAAAAACTGCTAAAAGAAACAACAACATTATATGTTGATAAAAGGGTCAGTTCATTAAGATATAACAATTATAAACATATATTGATAAAGATCCTCTCAAACAAACTTTAGTCAGGCTCCTCTGAGCCCTCTGTTTGACTAGGCCCAAGCTTTGGGCTTCTGTGTTCATCTTTGCATCACCCAGTTTTAGCAAGAATCCTGTCAAATTGATTTAGCCAGACTCCCCCACCCTCAATATCAGATCACCTTTGATATATGATCATCCTCCTCATCTCCCACCATTCTTCAGGTGATATCTGATTACTTTGGCCAGTCTTCAGCAAAAATCCTGTTTAGTTAGTTTAGCAAGCATCACCTTATGTGCTTAGTAATTTTCCATCTACTAATTCGCCAACCCTCTGTTCCATTTTTCCTTGTTGTAAAGTTGAACCCAATCTCTCTCCCCTACTGCAAAAACCCACTGCAGTAGTCCCTACACCTATTGCAAGAGTGACAGATAAGGTCTGCATTACTGTTTTAACAAGTGCCAGAATAACATTTTTTCTTATACAATATGCACCAAACAACAGAGCTTCAGAATACATGAAGAAAATATTGACAGAATTGAATAGATGATGATAGAAGAGTTAGGTAATTCTATAATAATAGTTGGAGACTTCAATATACCACTTTCAGTAATGCACAGAACATCTAGAAAGGTCAAGAAGGAAATAAAGGACTTGAACAACATGATAAACCAAGTCTATCTAACAGACATTCAGAAGAGTCCACCCACCAACAGCAAAATGCACATTCTTCCCAAGTGCACATGGATATTCTCCAGGATTGACTATATGTTAGGACATAAAACAAGTCTCAATAAATTTTAAAAGATTGAAGTCATCAAATTATCTTTCCCAACCACCATGGAATGAAATTACAAATCAGTAATAGAAGAAAAAACTCAAAAATTCATAAATATATGGAAATTGAATAACATGCTCTTAAACGACCAATGTGTCAAAGAAATCACAAGGGAAATTAGAAAATACTTAGAGATGAATTAAAATGAAAATGTAACATACCAGAACTTAAGGGATGCAGCTTAGGAAGTGCTCAGAGCACAGCTACTCAAGTATCTAAATATTTATACAACTATTTTTTTCCTCATCTTTAAAACAAAGATGGACCGATAATTTTTAAAATACAACACACTGGGCAGGGCGAGGTGGCTCATGCCTGTAATCCCAGCACTTTGGGAGGCTGAGACAGGCGGATCACGAGGTCAGGAGTTCGAGACAAGCCTGGCCAATATGGTGAAACCTTGTCTCTACTAAAAATACAAAAATTAGCCAGGCATGGTGGTGTGCACTTGTAATCCCAGCTTCTCAGGAGGCTGAGGCAGGAGAATCGCTTGAACCCGGGAGGCAGAGGTTTCAGTGAGCCGGTATCACACCACTGCACTCCAGCCTGGGCACAGGGCAAGACTCTGTCTTGGGGCGGCAGGGAGGAGGGGGGAGTACAACACACTGACAAGTAGTCTATTTTTAACTCAGTTTTGGATGGTTGTTTGTTAAGGCTATTGCTTGGGATAAATAATACAAAGGGAGGAGAAGGAGAAACAACAACACATAGAAGAAATAGAAGCAGCAGCATAGGAAAATGAAAAAGAACAAGAAAATGATAAGGAGAAGAAAAACCAGACTAGAAAAAAGGAAAAAGAACAGGTAAGGGACTCAGGAGGCCTATTCTACCTGTTGTCCCCTCCCTGATTCATGAAATTTGAAAAAGTCCAAGACTATCCCAACAGAAAACAAGCAAAAAGATACACAAATAGTCACCCCTCAAACTTTAATAATGACACAATGGTGCCACTCACGCCTGGCTCAGGCCCCAGAAGGAGGAGGGTGCCCTCAGAGAAGACTCCTCCTTGCCCTGGCTGCACGTCTACTGCTGCCACAGAGGTCCACAGTACAGCACCCGCAGCTTCCTACCCAGCCCAGGCTGGCCCTGCAGTGCTCCTACTCGCCTTCCCAGGCCCCAGACTTGCTACTGCTGCCACCACTAGCACCGATGCCAATACAACCACCACTGCTGCCGCCCTCAATGAACCGGCCCACCCTACAGGGCTCCCACCACCTGGCCACCGCTGCAGCACTGCCCTGGCCCTGGCAGCAGCCAGCCGCCCTCCTACCTCTCTGGCACTCTGCAGTCTCCATCGCTGCCACCACGCCAACCACAGCGAGGCAAGCCGTGGTGTCCCTGGCTCCAGCCTCCAGCATGTGCAGGTGGCTACTCCTTCTCCTGGCACGGAGCAACTGGATGGGCAAAGCCAGAAAAGCCTAGAACAGGATGCAGAGTAGTAGTGTGAGAGACTTAGTCATGTTGGCCACTGGGTGGCAGGGGCTCTCAAACCCACCTTCCAAAGTCCAGTCTCTCCTTTTGGCCCAAGCTGGCCAGGAACTGGGGCCTGGGGTGGGGACTGGAGACACCATGGTACCCAGGCTTCCCACTCCACAGGAACCGCTGGGCTCAGCCGGGTTGTACTCCTTGGGGAGCAGGAGCAGCAGAAACTCAACCCCAGCCAGCCTTCCCCACTGAAGTGCCAGTTCCCGTTCCTGACACCTCCACCCAAAGGGCCCTGTTGCCCCATGGTATCAGCTACTGTATGCCTGGGGATCCCAGGTGGTCTCTGCTAAACAGAGTAAGAAGACGTGGATCCAGGAAGCACAGTGGGTCTAGGGCCCCTGCCATGCTCAGTATTCCCGCGGAAACACTGTGCGCCCGCCACACTTCAGCACAAACAGGAGGAGGTGGCCGTCTAGAGTCTGGAGTCCGGGGAGAGGAGGACCGCTCCTCTCTTGGAGACCACCGCTGTCACTGACGTGTCCACCACCCACCACTGGCAGTGCAGCCCCTGATAATGCCCCATAACTCATCCCCATCTAGGATACTGCAGCACCCGATGGTGCCCACAACCTGCCCCCTGCCATTGGCAGTGCAGCCCAGGTTAATGCCCCCAAACTGCTCCCTGATGTTGGCAGTGCAGCCACGGAAAGTGCCCCCAACCAGCCTCCCGCCATGGGAAGTGACTCCCGGGATAGCGCCCCCAAGCAGACCCTAGCCTTGGGCAGTGACGCCCGGGTAGGTCGCCCAACCGCCACCCACCCCGTTGCCGAGAGTGCAGCACCAGATAGCGACCCTAACATGCCCCCCATCACTGGCGGTGTAGCCCAGGATAGCGCCGCCAACCCCTCACTTGACGCGACAGTGTAGCCCCTGATAGTGCACCCAATCTGCCACCCACTGCCGGCACTGCAACCCCGGATAGTGCACCCGACACACTCCCTGCTGGGCAGTGCAGCCCCCCAATAGCACCCAACCCGTCCCTCCACCCCTGCCACTGGCAGTCCACTCCCGATAATGCCCCCAACACGTTCCTGGCTGTGGGCAGTGTAGTCCATAGATAGCGCCCCAAACCAGCCCCCAGCCATGGGCAGTGACACCTCAGATATCACACCCAAGGAGTTCCCCACCATGGGCACTGATGTCCCAGACAGCACCCCAACTCGAGCCTCGTGTGACCAATGCAGCCACAGATAGGCCCCCAACAAGCCCCCACCCCACCACTGCTGCAGGAAATGATGCCTGGGATAACACCCAACCATTCCCCACCGTGGGCAGTGCAACACCCAGTACTGCCCCTAACACACCCCCCACACAAGATGGCGCCCCCAATCCCCCCCTCACCTTGGGCAGTGTAGTTCACGATAGTGCATCCAATCCTTGGCCCCTGAGCTCACTGCCCCTCTCCCCCCGCCACAAGTCCCTGGATAGCTCACCTACTCTGCCACCTTTCTACCACTTTGGCTGTGCTGTACTCTACCTCACTGCCACCAGCCACAGTGAGGCGAGCCATGCTGCTGCAGGCTCAAGCCTCCAGCATGCCACCGGTGACAACTCCTTCTCTAATCTGGGGTCGGAACAGATGGGCGGGCAGACGTAGAAGAACCTGGAATGGCAAGACTCTCGCTTACAAAGGTTATGCAAATTAGGTTCCTGGACTACATGTTCTGATTGGATGAGAGAAAAATCTCTAGGTCTACTATGATTGGGCTTTATTTTCGTGTTGTGACTGGATGAGAGGAAGTCTTAGGATAACCAATCAGAACATGATAACAAAGTCCAATCAGACTAGGCCTAGAGGTTTCTCTTGTCCAATCAGAACATGTAGTCCAGGAACTTCATTTGCATCAACTCCACATATAAAGGATGCCAAGTGAGGCGGCTCCTCATTCTAGGCTCTTCAGTGTCCACTGGTGTAGCTGCTCCATTCCAGGCTTACAGGAGAAGGAGGAGGAGGCACTTGCCACGCACGCTGGAGACTCGAGCCTGCCTTGGCTCCCCTTGCTGCTGTGGTTGGTGGTGGCAAGGAAGACGACAGTGCAGCCAGGATGGTAAAAAGGTGGTGGGATAGGTTCGCTATCCCAGGAGGTACTGCCTGAGGCATGGGGGGTGGGTTGGGGTCCCTATCCAGGGCGTCACTGCCCGTGTTGAGGGGCTGGTTGGGTGTGCTATCTGGGGCATCACTGCCTGTGGAGGGGAGTGGGTTGGGGCCCTATCTGGGGTGTGCTGCCCGTGGCTGGGGGTGGGTTGGGGCACTATCCCAATCTGTACTGCTAGCGGCAGTGGGTGGTTTTGGGGGGCACTATCTGGGGATGCACTGCCTGCGGCCAGGGGGTGAGTTGGGAGAACTATCGGGTGCTGCAATGCCCTTGTTGGGCACAGGTTGGGGGCGCTATTGGGTGCTACTCTGCCTGTGGTGGGTGGGACATGTGGTATCTGGGGCATCATTGCCTGCGTCTGGGAGCTGGTTGGGGGCACTATCCATGGCTGCACAGCCTACAGCAGGGAGTGGGTTGAGCGCACAATCTGGGGCTGCAATGTTGGTGGTGGGGGACGGGTTAGGGTCACTATAGGGTGCTACACTATTGGCGGCAGGGAGGGGGGTGTTGAGGTTGCTATCGGGGGCTACACTGAGGCAGAAGTAGCGGGGTTTATTGGGAGTGCTACCAGGGACCAGAATGCCCGTGGAGAGGGGGTGGGGGGTTGGTTGGGGGTGCTACTGAGGATACACTGCCCATGGTGGGTGGAGGGGGGTGGGCTGGGTGCTATCAGAGATCTGTACTGCCTGTCAGGGAGCCAGTGAGTATGCTATCTGGGGCCACGTTGGCTCAGGGGGCGGGGGCAGGTTGGGTGCACTATTGGGGACTACACTGCCAGCGGCAGGGCGTGGGTTGGGTGCGTTATCCATGGCTGCACTGCCAGAGGCAGGGAGTGCATGGGGGGCGCTATCCTGGGCTGCTACTCCCGGTGGGAGCAGATTGGAGCGCTATCTGGGGTTGCACTGCTTGCAGTGGGGGGTAGTTTGGGTGCCATATTGGGGCGTCACTGCCAGTGGCGGTGGTCTGGTTGGGGCCGCTATTCATGGCTACACCGTCTATGGCATGGAGCGGATTGAGGTTGCTACCCTGGGCTGCAGTGCCCGTGGCTGGGGGCAAGTTGCAGGTGCCAGCAGGTGCTTCAGTGTCCGAGGCAGGGGCAGGTTGGGGGCGCTATCAGGTGCTGGTGATGGGGGGCAGGGTGTTGGGGGCGCTATCGGGGGGCTGCACTGTCACCCTGGCAGCAGGCAGCAGAGGTGTCAGTGACAGCAGTGGTCAGAGGAGCAGTCCTCCTCTCCCTGACTCAGGCTCCAGAGGGCCATCTCCTCCTGCTCGAGTTTCTGGGGGAATCCTGAGCAGGGCCCAGCCCCCAGCCCCGAGATGGTTCCCAGGCCTGCGCCCTCTTGCTACGTGTTGCAGAGACCACCTGGGACCCCCGCACATAGAGTAGCGGATACCACGGGGTGACCAGGCCCTGTGGGTGGAGGCGTCAGGAATGGGAACCGGCACTTGGGTGGGGAGGGCTGGCTGGGGTTGAGTTTCTGCTGCTCCTGCTTCCCAGGAAATGCAGCCAGGGTGGGCCCAGCAGTTCCTATGGAGTAGGAAGCCTGGACGCTGTGGTGTCTCCAGTCCCCACCCCAGGGCCCAGTCACTGGCCAGCTTGGGCCAAAAGGAGAGGCTGGACTTTAGAGGGTGGGTGTGAGTGTCTTCACTGAAACTGACACCTGCCACCCAGTGGCCAGCATGGCAAGGTGAGGCTCTAATGCTACCACTCTCTGCATCCCGTTCTAGGCTTTTCTGGCTTTGCCTGCCCAGTTGCTCCGCGCGAAGAGGAGGGACTACCTGCTGCTTGCTGGAGGCTAGAGCCTGCGACACTGTGGCTCGCCTCGCTGTGGTTGGTGGCAGCGATGGGGACTGCAGAGTGCCAAAGCGGTAGGAGAGCAGTGATGGAGACTGCAGAGCGACAGAGCGGTAGGAGGGTGGCTGGCTGCTGTCAGGGCACAGGTAGGGCTGCAGTGGTGGCCAGGTGTTAGGAGCCTCATAGGATGGGCTGGTGCATTGAGGGTAACATCAGTGGTGGTTGTATTGGCATCAGCGCTAGTGGTGGCAGCAGCAGCAAGTCTGGGGCCCAGGAAGGCAGGTGGGAGCACTGTGGGACTGGCTCGCCTGTCCCAGCCTGGCCTGGGGTGGGTAGGAAGCTGTGGGCCTCTGTGGCAGGAATGGAGGCATAGCCAGGGGAAGGAGGAGTCTTCCCCACTTCTGCAGAATCTGGAGGGTGCTATCCTCCTGCGGGTGCCTGAGCCAGGCGTGAGTGGCACCATTGTGTCATTATTAACAAAGTTTGTGGAGGTGACTATTTGTGTATCTTTTTGCTTGATTTTTGTTAGGGTAGTCTTGAACTTTTTAAAATTTCATGAATCAGGAAGGGGACAAGATGTGTAATAGGCCTCCTGATTCCTTTATCTGTTCTTTTTCTTTTTTTCTTTCTGGTTTTTCTTCTGCTTATCATCATTTTCTTGTTCCTCTTCATTTTCTTATGCTGCTGCTTCTATTTCTTGTGTCTGTTCTTGTTTCTCCTCCTCCTCCTTTTGTTTTCTTTATCATAAGCAATGGCCTTAACAAACAACAATCCAAACCTGAGTTAAAAATAGAGTACTTGTCAGCATGTTGTATTCCCCTCCACCCCTGCCCCCCAGACAGAGTCTTGCTCTATTGCCCAGGCTGGAGTGCAGTGGCACGATCTCCACTTACTGCAACTGCTGTCTCCTGGGTTCAAGCGATTCTCCTGCCTCAGCCTCCTGAGAAGCTGGGATTACAAGTGCACACCACCATGCCTGGCTAATTTTTCTATTTTTAGTAGAGACGGGATTTCACCACGTTGGCCAGGCTGGTCTCAAACTCCTGACCTCCCTCATGATCTGCCCATCTCAGCCTCTCAGAGTGCTGGGGTTACAGGGGTGAGGCACTTCACTGGCCCAGTGTATTGTATTTTAAAAATAATTGGTCCATTATTGTGATGAGGAAAAAAATTGTTGCATAATTATTTAGATACTTGAGTAGCTGTGCTTTCATGATCCTGTAAGTAGTTATTCAAGGAATGAAAAAATGAAGCACTGAATAAAATATTGGTAGCAAACAGCCAATTCATGTCTCTCACATATTAGTCTGGAGATAGTCAAGAGGCACAGGGGTAATAAGTTCCAATTTATGAGATTGTTAAGTGAACCACATTCCTTTCATTTTATTTCTCTGCCACCATTTTCAAGAGTATTGTCATTTGCATGAGCAAATTTGGTTCATCACCACATCTTTGCAACAGGAAAAGGAAGGGGAGGATCATGTGTATAATGTTTTTAGGCCAAGATTCTCTACCACAAACAAGGCTTCACTAACTTTTGCCTTTAAGAGCCTGCAGTGTTGAGCCCTATTTTATTCCTAATAATATTATCTTTGGTATGAACTTTTTTTTTTAACTGATTACTCTAGAAATTTGTGCATTTTATTGACTACTTTAAAGAAACAATCTATATTGTATCATTTTTTTCAAGCCAACAGAAACGTATGAGGTCTGTAAATTTTACACTTTTTAATTATTTTTGAGGTCATGAATATGTAAAATATTGTTGATATACGTAAAAATATGCATATGTACCACTATATAGCTTATTTTGAAGAGATGGTGTCTAAATTTTTGTCCAGAGTAGATTGGTTGCAGTTTCTTAGGTGTCTTTCTCAATATATTCCCTCAATGTTTTAAAGCATATAGAAAAAATTTGAATACCATTAACCTCATATAGTCCTTTGTTTATAGGTTAATATTTCTACAGACTAAAGGCATCACAGCCTCCTTTAAGATTCAGTAATATTAATAAAATTTGAGATATATAGGGGTAGAATCCAACAAATTCAGAGGAAAATTGTTAAATTATATAGCCGTAGATGAGGACATGAAACCCAGGTTCTGAGCTCTCAGAGGGCCATGAGCTACCATACCAAGTGCATCAGTGACTGGGCCTAGAGTTAGCAGAATTACAGGATGGTTGAGCAAGCTTTGGAGCCTAACTCTATGCGAACATGAATTTTTAAGCTGTGTGGTACCTCAGTTTATCCATCTTTACAATGGGGACAGTACTAACTTTTTCTTTTTCTTTTCAGTTGACTGAATTATTTCCCTAGTCTGTCTTGTCGCCACTCTTGATGGCCACATGAGAGGAGCTAAGGTAATTTCTGGCAGCCTGGGAGTCCTTGGGAAAAACAGAAGGTGCCACAGACTCCATTTTAGGAGGAGCCTCTGTTTTCCTCATGGACCCCCAAGAAGTGTAAGTGGACAGGTCCCTCTCAAAACCTGGGGAAGGCTCTGCTTTGTTTTGCCTTGCTTTACCTGACCTTTTGGATGTGGGTGGACATCAGAAATTAGTAGGGGAGAGAGAGCTAAAAAAATTGTGGGTAAGAAGATGTATTTATGGTAAGGAAGGTTATGAAGGAAAGAGATTTTGTGGGAGAGAGGATCTTGTATTACAAATTATTGTTCTAAAGTAGAATGACTAATTATTTAGAGAAGAGGGAAGTAGGCCAGGTGCGGTGGCTCATGCCTGTAATCCCAGCACTTTGGGAGGCCAAGGCAACTGGATCACCCTGAGGTCAGGCATTTGAGACCAGCCTGACCAACATGGAGAAACCCCATCTCTACTAAAAATACAAAATTAGCCAGGTGTGGTGGTGCATGCCTATAATCCCAGCTACTCAGGAGGCTGAGGCAGGAGAATCACTTGAACCTGGGAGGCAAAGGTTGCAGTGAGCCGATATTGCACCATTGCACGCTAGCCTGGGCAACAAGAGCGAAACTCCATCTCAAAATAAAATAAAAGATGAAAAAAGGGAAGTATAGGACAAGTCAGAAAGTCATAAGATGGGAAAGAAAAACTTAGAACTGCTCGATCTTGTCTGGAAGTGCTGTGTATGATGTTTATATAAAGGAGCTTTAATTGGCTTCAAAGAAAATGAAAGCTCCCAAATATTTCATCAGAAAAATAGAAGTTCTCATACCTTTTAGTTCATGTAACTTCAGTAATCTTTGGGAAATAAAGGCTTTTAAAAGTTATTGGTAAAATGAAAATGTTTTCAAAATTTAGACATTTGGTTTAAATTAAGTCAGAGATTGAATTCGCTAAGTGCTTTAATGTCATAAACTGCTTCTTTGACTTTGGAAAATTGTTCAGTTTACCTGGTTTGGAGCCATTAGATTTCTAGGTGAGGCCTGGGGACAGGTGGAGTTAACCATGCCTCCTAGCTATGCTAGAAAGAGTCAGACTTTATCTGCAGTTCTGTCTTGTATCCTAGACTCCGCACCTGGTATGTAATTAAAATTGCTTACACTAAAAAGAAAAATTATGTGTTTTTGACATGGGAAAATGGTTTTTTCAAAAAAAGTGAGTTTTTTCTAACTTCGAAAGTTTAAGAATTATTTTTAGTTGAAAGAATATAAAGTTTAAGCAAGTTATAGGAGGTTTATGAAACTTTGTAAAGAATTCTGTGAGCAAGTTGACTAAAATGAAAGGGTATTATTTAATTCTTCCATAAATTAAATATTAAACACAAGACGCTGAAACAGAGCCAGAATCTGGGCCCGTACATCAAAATAATAGGGTTTTTGGGAACATTGATCTGTTCTTTAACAAGAAAAAAATTATAGTTATAAATTGTTACCAAAATCTTACCTTATAGTCAAATTAATTAAAATTGGATAGATTCATAAAATTTTATTAAAAAGTAACTTTAGCATTAAAGATGCACTAATGCGAAAATAAAATTTAATTTAATGTTGAATTCTTTCTTTTGAGAAATCCAAGAACTCTCTCTTGAGGTCTGGATCGGGACCCCTTTCTGGTAACACCACCACTCCCAGCCCTCCCCTCCTTCCTAGCCTCCACTGGGAGGCGCTCTCCTGGAGGAGCAGCTGCCCCTGGCCCCCACCACATTCAGCACAGAAGGCCAGGCCTGGGCTGCTGCTCTGCCCGCACCTAGCCAGGAAATGAGTTGGATAAACACAGGAGAATTGGCCGGGGTGGGGAGGGTGTTCTGAAAATCTGCCTTGGCTCTCTGGGTCTGTGGCCAGAAGCCACAGAAATGGAGACTCAGTTCCTTCAGCAATCTGTGTTCCTACTGTGTGTCTGGCACAGAGCAAGGCCCTGGGGGTGGGGCCCTGGAGGTGTCCCGGAAAAAACGGAACACCTGTCCTCCAGGAACACCCTGTCCTCCAGGAGCTCACCCTACATCACAGAAGCCCATTTTTATGGAGGATTTACTATGCAGATTGTCTCCCTTAATTTTCACCACAACCCAGTCATCAGTGCTATTATCATCCCCATGTGAAGTACCCAAAAAACAAGGTCCAGAGAGGCGAAGGGATTTGTCCAAGGTCACACAACTCATCAGTGTTGGAGCTGAGAGCTGAAATTCTCTTTTTTGAATTGAACCATTTATTAATAGGCATTGATGTTCTTTTTTTGTTTGTTTTGTTTTGTTTTGTTTTGAGACAGAGTTTCGCTCTTGTTGCCCAGGCTGGAGTGCAGTGGCGTGATCTTGGCTCACCGCAACCTCTGCCTCCCGGATTCAAGCGATTCTCCTGCCTCAGCCTCCCAAGTAGCTGGGATTACAGGCATGTGCCACCATGCCTGGCTAATTTTGTATTTTTAGTAGAGATGGGATTTCTCCATGTTGGTCAGGCTGGTCTCGAACCTCCGACATCAGGTGATCTGCTGACCGCAGCCTCCCAAAGTGCTGGGATTACAGGTGTGAGCCACTGGTCTGGCCTAGGCATTGATCTTCTAAAGACAAAATAAACCACATTGTCTTCAAGCATGTTGAGTTTGCTGTTTATCACCACAGCCACATCAACTTTCTGTTTCATGAGTGTTTGCCTGGCATATCTGCCCAACATCTCTGTGTGTTTATACTTCTGTGTGTCTTCTATAGTTTGTCCAATCTTTATTTCTAAACTCTCCTGTGAAGTCCATTGAAATGAAGTATGAGTTTCTGGTACTATAGAAAGTTGAGCATTCCTTGGGTAGGTATTGTTTAGGTACACTGGCCTTGTTCTGTCTGCATCTTTTCTGGGTCACCCTTTGCTGAAAAGTGTCAGTCTTTGAGAGGAGGGGGGTGTCCTTTCCTGCTAGGGTGGCTTTGTGTAAGATGGAGATGCAGACACAGTGTTGTGTGACGGTGAGGGGTCACAGTGGGCTGCAGAGGTTTAAAGGCGGCCCACAGGCAGGTCCAACCAAGGTAGAGGTTACAGAAAGGACGAGCAGACGTGAGCAGGTCCCTGGGGCATTATAAATACAGTGGCCCCTTCATCTTCTCCCTTGGAAGACGAATTTGTTCCAGGATAGACCATGTCTATCCAAAGGCAGAACAGTCAGTAGTCCTAGGTGCCCCCAACTAGTCCTCAGTGCCCTCCGTGGGAGTCCAATGAAAAGAGCCTGTGGGGACAGCGCTTGCCCATCTACTCATGTGGACGAGGACTGGGTGCTTTGTGAGGAGTGAAGAAGACAGTATGGAGGAGTTCACGGAGTCCGAGGGACTGGACATTATCATATTGCATGGCTCAGAGCAGCACGCATGGACATTCAGCATCTGTAAGGGGACCATGCAGCAGAGGCTGACAGTGGAGAGTGCAGTGCACATAAAGACACGCCAGTGTTTGGTGAGAGGGACTTGATCCAGATCAGCAAAAGCGAAGTGACTGATGTGCACAGCGGTGTGCAAATGGCGACTATGGGATAGCAATGGCCGATGTCAGGCTGCTGGCAGAGAGCGCAAGACATGATGGAAACACCATTGGCCACAAGTCTACAGAGGTCTTGGCGCTGACCTGGATGCTTCCTTTGAAGCTGGTAAAGTTGTCCATTTATAACTATGATATTGGCTGCTTTTTTTTTTTTTTTTTGACAGAGTCTTGCTCTGTCGCCAGGCTGGAGTTCAGTGGCGCGATCTTGGCTCACTGCAACCTCCACCTCTCAGGTTCAGGCAATTCTCCTTCCTCAGCCTCCTGAGTAGCTGGGACTACAGGCACACACCAGTACGCCCAGCTAACTTTTGTAGTTTTAGTAGAGATGGGGTTTCACCATGTGGGCCAGGATGGTCTTGATCTCTTGACCTTGTGATCCACCTGCGTCGGCCTCCCAAAGTGCTGGGATTACAGGCATGAGCCACTGCACCCGGCCAAGCTGCTGGATGCTCTTATTACCTGCAGTTATGTCCCCACTTCCACAGATGCAAGAGAAGATCTGTTTGCCTTCTGAGAAGACTTGATATACCTCCTGAGAGGCTAACGGACATGCTCAGGCTCAGCCAGCTTGTGACACAATAAACATATCCACATTGGTGAGAGGACAAGAAGAGCCCAGTGGACACAGAGCTCTGTGGAGAAGGATACCAAGGTCAGGTCAGGATGGGGAGCCTTCCCATGGTCAATAATGTGTCTGGGGCCACCTCCTGTGCTCATGACAGTGGGGAAACAATTCTTGCTGTCTCACACATACACTGTGCACGTGGTAACACATGCACTCACTTAATCACGGCATCTACTGGGCCTGACTAAGAGGCAGCAGCCACAGCCACAACACCAGATGGCCACATGACTGTGCTTGCAGGAGCTGAGATGGTGCAGAAACCCTGTTGCCAAGACTTCTGGAGGTACAGGATTGTCTCAGCCTTGAAGAGTAGAGAAGACACAAAATGAACAGGACTGTGGCCAGAGAGTCTCCCAGCTCAAGTATGAAGCCACAAAGAAAAGGAAGAATGGGCCGGGCGTGGTGGCTCACGCCTGTAATCCCAGTACTTGGGAGGCCAAGGCAGGCAGATCACGAGGTCAGGAGATTGAGACCATCCTGGCCAACATGGTGAAACCCTGTCTCTACTCAAAATACAAAAATTAGCTGGGCGTGGTGGCATGCTCCTGTAGTCCCAGCTACTCGGGAGGCTGAGGCAGGAGAATCACTTGAACCTGGGAGTTGGAGGTTGCAGTGAGCCAAGATGGCGCCACTGCACTCCAGCCTGACACCGAGCTAGACTCCGTCTCAAAAAAAAAAAAACAAAAAAAAACAACCAAACAGCTGCCTGAGGCCGGGTGCGAGTGGCTCATGCCTGTAATTCCAGCAACTTGGGAGGCTGAGGCAGGCAGATCACCTGAGGTCAGGAATTCGAGACCAGCTACTAGAAAGGGCCCACTAAGTCCTGGCCAACATGGCGAAACCCCATCTCTACTAAAAATACAAATATTAGCTGGGTGTGGTGGTACATGCCTGTAATCACAGCTACTCGGGAGGCTGAGGCAGGAGGATTGCTTGAGTCCAGGAGGCAGAGATTGCAGTAAGCCAAGATTGAGCCACTGCATCCCAGAGTAGGCAACACAGTGAGACTCCATCTCAAAAACAACAGCAACAACAAAATAGGCTGGGTGCATTGGCTCACGTCTGTAATCCTAGAGCTTTGGGAGGCTGAGGCGGGAGGATCGCCTGAGGTCAGGATTCTGAGATGAGCCTGCCCAACATGAGGAAACCCCATCTCTACTGAAAATACAAAAATTAGCCAGGCATGGTGGTGCATGCCTGTAATCAATCCCAGCTACTTGGGAGGCTGAGGCATGAGAATCACTTGAACCCAAGAGGTAGAGGTTGCAGTGAGTTGAGATCACACCACTGCACTCCAACCTGGGCGACAGAGCAAGACTCCGTCTCAAAAAACAAACAAACAAACAAAAACACCTGCTCTAGTGGAAATGGATTGAGGGCCTGGAGCTTCACCTGGCAAGCCCCTCTTCTCCAGCCCCCATCCACTCCCAGTAGCCTCGAGGAGCTCTGCAGCAATCCCCGATCTCTGAGAAGCACAGCTGACAAGCATTGAAGTGAGCTGCTGTTGCTGGTAGACAGGCGCTGCTGTGTTAGGAAGCTGGGAATGCTTTCTATGGCTAGGCACTTGGAGCTAGGTCTTTCTTGTTTTTCTAAATGGCAGGCACACTTGTTTTTTTTTCCAATTTGCAGAGGAGTCAGCAGGATGAGTGCTTGGAGTTGGTCTCATTGCAGCTCCAGACCCTCCTCATTAGGTCATATTCCTTTCAGGATATTTGACCTCTGACCAGCCAGCATCAGTAGCCCACTGCTCCCTGGCCTGTGAGCAGCACCTCCAGCCTCTGCCCCTGCCACCCTCTCAACCAGGTGGTGGCCAACGCAGTGGCAGCGCTCTCAGAAATCGCCGAGTCTCACCCGAGCAACAACCTGCTCCATCTGAACCCACAGTTCATCAACAAGCTGCTGACAGCCCTGATTGAGTGCACCGAGTGGGGCCAGATCTTCATCCTGGACTGCCTCACCAACTATACGCCCAAGGACGACCGCGAGGCCCAGAGGTGAGCGGGCTGCCCTTTGCTTGCCAGCCCAGCCTGAGGACCCTTGTCCTCAGGGGCTCCAACCAGGCACTGGGCCTCGGGCCTTAGTGGGCCCTTTCTAGTACCTTGCCCCATAACCCACCCTCAGACACACCTAAAGGGAGGCCTGCCTGCTTCCCACCTCTCCAGAGCCAGGTAGGCAGGAGAGTTGCCTTGGGCAGCTATGGGCATACGCATGGCCTGGCCTGGGAGCTAACAGAAGCCCAGGGCACCTCTGTTGAGTTCAGTACGTGGGTGGTGCCAGAGCCACTGCTCATTGAATTCTCACTGGGTGTCTGGGGCTCTGCCGGGTGCTTTCCACACTTTAGTCTTTAATGCAACTTTCATCATCATCCCCCACTTTCCAGATGAGGGAGCTCCAGCTTAGAGAGGTGGAGGGAAATGTGCAGGTCCCCCAGCTAGGGCTCACCTGACTTATGGTCTTAACCAACAAGATACCCTCCAAGTCAGAGGAAGTGGGGAGTTGGCATCTATACAGGATGTACTACATGCCAGTACTGTGCTTGTTCTTTTTTTTTTTTTTTTTTTTTTTTGAGGCAGGATTTCTGTCCCCCAGGCTGGAGCTGCAGCCCCAACCTCCTGGGCTCAATCAATTCTCCTAGGTAGCTGGGACTACAGATGCATGCCAACATACCCACTAATTTTTATATTTTTTGTCGAGACAGGTTTTCACTGTGTCGTCCAGACTGGTCTCACCCAACCAAACTCCTGGGCTCAAGCAGTCCACCCACCTCAGCCTTGCCTGGCCTTGTTCTTTACATGCGTTATGTCAGTTAAGCCCCCAGCAACCCTGTGAAGTAGGCATCATCATCTTGATTCTATAGATGAGGAAACTGAGGCTCAGAGTGATTTCAACTTGCTGGGGGTTAGCAGGCAGCAGAACCAGGATTTAGATCTTTCTCCTACAAAAAACATGTTTGTTTTTTGTTCGTTTGAGACAGGGTCTTGCTCTGTCACCCAGGTTGGTGTGCAGTGGCACCGTCACAGCTCACTGCAGCCTCAGACTCCCAGATTCAAGTGATTCCCCTGCCTCAGCCTCCTGAGGAGCTGGGATTACAGGCATGCACCACCATACCAGGCTAATTTTTTGTATTTTATTAGAGACGAGGTTTCACTATCACTGTGTTGGCCAGGATGGTCTTGATCTCCTGACCTCGTGATCCGCCGCCTCAGCCTCCCAAAGCGCTGGGATTACAGGCATGAGCCACTGTGCCCGGCCGATCCTCAGCCTCTTAAAGTGCTGGGATTACAGGTGTGAGCTACTGCACTTGATCTCCAAGCTTCCATCTTGTTAATTCCTATCCTAATAGTCGTCCCGCACTGTTGCCTGTCCCACCTGAGGCCAGGCACCTGAAGCTGTCCTCAGCCAACAGCATAGTATGTCTTACGTGCCTCCCTCTGGTTCATTTGGAAGTTAGATACCGGGAATTATCCCCTGCCAGGGTAGGGAGGGATCACTCATGCTTGCCTCCTTTCCTTAGGGGAGATCTTTGAGCTGAAGGCAGAGCTCAATAGTGACAAGAAGGAGAAGGAGGAGGAGGCAGTGAAGAAAGTGATTGCATCAATGACCGTGGGCAAAGATGTCAGGTGTGCAGGAGTAGGCCTGGTGGCAGCTGGAAGCTGGCTGACGGGAGGGTTTATAGCTGGGGTCCACTTCAGTCTCTCCTTTAGGGTGTCTAGGGACCCATGTCTCCCCTCATACAGCTCCCTTCATAAAACTTTATTCCCAGTAGAAAATTTTGTTTACTCAGGAATCACAAGCCCAGATGCCGACAGGTCAGGTGGTGATGGAGTGAGTTAACTGGAGTAGGTGGGAAAGGCAGCAGGCGATGGAGTGGGTGTGGCATGAACTCTCTTAGAAACTCCAGAGGATCAGTACTGGCTGGGGAAGAGGACCCAGTGTGGCCAGGTCTTCTAGTTTTTAAAAAGAATGGGAAATCTGGGCCAGGCGTGGTGGCTCATGCCTGTAATCCTAGCACTTTGGGGGACGCAGGCGGGCGGATCACAAGGTCAGGAGTTCGACACCAGCCTGGCCAATATGGTGAAATCCCGTCTCCTCTAAAAATATAAAAATTAGCCAGGCGTGGTGGTGCATGCCTGTAATCTCAGCTACTCGGGAGACTGAGGCAGGAGAATTGCTTGAACCTGGGAGGTGGATGTTACAGTCAGCCGATATTGTACCTCTGCACTCCAGCCCTGGTGACAGAGCAAGACTCCGTCTCAAAAAAAAAAAAAAAGAATGGGAAATCTGGATTTTTCATTTTAAATCTCCCTAAGTGGCCAGATGATATTAAACAAACACTGTGTGGTGCAAATAAAACATATGTGCAGATTGGATTTCTCTAATTTGTCACCGGTGTGCAGCCTCTGTCGCACCCGATGGCTAAAGCAGGTCGTGCGTAGAGCGGCTGCCGCACCTTGGCTCATGCTTCCCCTGTGGGAGCGCCCCGTGACCCAGCTTGTCTTCTCATCTTTAAAAACCCATTCAAGGCCGGGCGTGGTAACTCACACCTGTAATCCTAGCACTTTGGGAGGCCGAGGAGGGTAGATCACGAGGTCAGGAGTTCAAGACCACCTGGCCAAGATGGTGAAACCCCATCTCTACTAAAAATAGAAAAATTAGCTGGGCATGGTGGCGGGCACATGTAATTTCAGCTGCTCGGGAGGCTGAGGCAGAGAATTGCTGGAACCCGGGAGGCAGAGGTTGCAGTGAGCTGAGATCATGCCACTGCACTCCAGCCTGGGCGGCAGAGCGAGACTCCCTCTCAAAAAAATAAAAAAAATTCAAGGTCCGCCTTTCCCGTGTTCCTGCCTTCCCTCATCACCCCAGCCCACTACCCCAAACTCAAAGCATTTGCTCTCTGTTCCCATCACCCAGCACTAAATGGAGATTGTTCTCCTGTTATGTGTACTTGCATTTACCTGCTCACCAGATTTTAAAATCTCAAAGGCAGAGACTGGATTTTACAACAGTTTAATATTTGCACAATATTTGAGAGTCTGCACAGAACATTTTGAGATTTGTTTTCTCAGTAGTTCCTTACAATTCCCATATTGTAGGTAATGACAGTTTTAATGCCACTGAAATAAAAACATAAAGTGACTGCCTAAGAGTCACATGGTTTATGGCAGAACTAGGACTCAAGCCCAGTTCTTCTGAAATCCAAATCCAGGCCACTTTCACCCATGCCCTCGTGGTGCCCAGCCCTGTGCCTCATAACCCGGGTGCTGAGGTGGAGCAGCTCCCATCCAGGTCCCAAGATAGGCTCCCACTGCTCCAGACGTCCCCATGGATTGCCCCCAGCAAAGGACCTCCTGCCAGCAGCTCCGGGAAGGAGCTCTGCAGAGAGCCCTTTGGAAGCCAGAGCAGAAAGGGAGCAGGCACCTGCTGGACAACTGGGCCTCCATCCAAGTCAGATTCCTTCCAGGACAAAGCTGCTCTCCTTCACCCAGAACACCACTGTCACCTCCTCACAGAGGAGAAACATCTTTGTTCTTCCATCTCAAAAGAGCTGGCTTTGCTGATATGACAGGCCCCAAAGAGCAAGTCAGCCTCATCAGCAGTTTTTCCTCCTCCCTCCTCCGCATTCTTCCTGGTGCGTCATCTTCCAAGGTGACACATACATTGTGGCTTTGGCAGGACTCCTGCCTGTTGGGACTCAGGAAGTTCACTTTGTCCTCCTAAGTCTCTATGTTGACACGCCCTTGCCTGTAAACACAAGAATTGAGAGGGGATATGATGATTCCAGAGATAGGAAATTGATCTCTAACCAAATTTCACATCTTAAGAAGGCCTGTGACTCTGGGACCACGGGTACCATGTTGAGAAGGGTTCCACCCAGTGGTCATGAGCACAGACCTTGTTCTCAGACCTGATTCCTCCAGGCAGGTTATTTGACATTTATGAACCTCAGTGTTCTCTGAAATGGGGATCATCCCCTGACTTCTGAGGGCAGTTAAATGAGATCAAGCATGTAAAGCTCTTAGCACCAAGCCTAGTGTATGGTGTGTGCTCCATGCATGCTGTGCTGGTTCTTACCGGGTGCCAGAGCTTGTGGAGAAAGCAGCGTGAGCCATCCTGCTTCCCTGCGACTCTCCAGAACCAGCAGCCTAATGTAAGGGGCCGCGTTAAGTATCAGAGAGGGAGAAAGGATCATTTTCATTTACTCAGCATCTCTCAGATATCAAGGACCAGATACCTAAGTATGTTGTCTCATTCAGTTATAAAGGCCCCGTGAAGTGAGTTTCGGTTGCACCTTTCTTTAGGACGGTCAGCTGGGTCTCTCTGCTAAACATCAAGCGCTGTGACACAGGCTCATACAAAAACTACTCCCTAGGACCCCCTATGCCCCCCTCCCCAGCCCCCACCTGCAGCTGTGGTGCAGGAAAGCTGAACCCCTGACTCCGGTGGGCATTTGCTCAGCAGGGTGTCCACAACTCTGCCTGCGCTTCTGAAGCTGAGATGAGACAGTCAGCCCCATGCATACAATGACAGGATGTCTGGAAATGCAGAGGCCCAAGGAAATTCATGTCTGGATCAGGTTTTCCCTTTGATTGTGGCCCAGGAATGGGAATGAGCTCCTGGGAGGGCGTTTGCTTCCCTAAGGAGTGAAGTGGCATGGAAGGGGACAGGGATTCTCTACGTTATAGGGTTGTGGTAACCCTGATCTCTTGGTGACCACAAAGTAAGAGCAGGGAGGCATCCTCAGGTATCCCCAATGCCCCAGAGTCTCAGCAGCCACGGGAAGGTCCAATCTGACCACAACCACAACTCCAGGGGTCTCACTTCCATCCTCTCTGGTGTTGCTTTAGCCTGTAGGCTGAAGATTAACCCCCACCCTAATCGCTTGTGCTATCTATAGATCACAGACAATGGTGTGGAGAAATACTTGCCTTGCTTACCCCCACCTAGTCATGTACCCCATGCTTGCTCAGTCTATCACGACCCTGTCACGTGGACCCCTTAGAGTTGTAAGCCCTTAAAAGGGCCAGGAACTCTTTCTTTGGGGAGCTCGGTTCTGTTCTTATGACGCAAGTCTGCTGACCTCCCGGCCTAATAAAGCCTCTTCCTTCTTTAACCCGGTGTCTGAGGAGTTTTGTCTGTGGCTCATCCTGCTACATTTCTTGGTTCCCTGACCGGGAAGTGAAGCAGCCCCTTAGGTGGCTTAGGCTTGCCCTGTGGAGCATCCCTGCAGGGGACTCTGGCCAGCTTGAGCTACGTGGATCCTGAGCATGCTCCTGGGTAGGCATTTGCCCCGGTGGAATGCCTTGTCAGAGCAGTGCATGGCAGGCCCCAGCAGAGGATCAATGCAGTGGCTGAGCACCGGGAGGGAACTGGCGCTTGGAGTCCGTATATCTGGAACATGGTAGGACTGGTCTTGGGAACTTGCCCACTCCATTTGAGTGGAAGCATGGCCTGATCACCCACAGAGTGCCTTTATCGGCACTTTGGTTTTGGTTTTGATTTTGACTTGGTTTGAATTCCTTGGCAAACGGGCGTGCCTTTGTCGGCACTTTGGTTTTGGTTTTGATTTTGACTTGGTTTGAATTACTTGACAAATGGGCGTGCCTTTATCGGCACTTTGGTTTTGGTTTCGATTTTGACTTGAATTGCTTGACAGGACCTGTCTTGGGAACTTGTCCACTCCATTTGAGTGGAAGCATGGCCTGATCACCCACAGCGTGCCTTTATCAGCACTTTGGTTTTGGTTTTGGTTTTGGTTTTGACTTGGTTTAAATTGCTTGACGAACGGGCGTGTCCTTTATCTGCACTTTGGTTTTGGTTTTGATTCTGATTTGGTGTGAATTCCTTGAACCCATTAACCCACGGGTGGCCCGAATGCATTCAGTCTGTAGCGGCAACTGCTTTGCTGACAGAAGAAAGTAGAAAAATAACTTTTAGAGGAAACCTCATTGTGAGCACACCTCACCAGTTCAGAAGTATCCTAAGTTAAAAAAAAAAAAGCAAAAAGGTAGCTTAATAACTCAAAAATCTTAAAGTATGGGGCTACTCCGTTAGAAAAAGATGATTTAACATAAACCCCTGAAAATTCCCTTAACCCAGAAGATTTCCTAACAGGGAATTTAAATCTTAATTACCATACAAAGATCCGACCAGACCTAGGAGGAACTACCTTCAGGACAGGATGATAGATAGTTCCTCCCAGGTGATTAAGGAGAAAAACCACAATGGGTATTTTGTAATTGAGGAAAACTCTTGTAGAAGTAGAGTTAGGAAAATTGCCTAATAATTGGTCTGCTCAACTTTGCCACCCAGCCAAGCCTTGAAGTACTTACAGAACCAGGAAAAAAAAAAGCCATCTATACCAATTCTAAGTTAATCTGGACTAAACAAAGTCTTATTAATAGCAAAGGATAATTGAAATCCCACACTTACAAGGTTTTCAACAAAAGTAAAGTTGTTTTGCTAAAAGTTAACAGTGTAACGTGTATGATAGTAACTTCTAATCTGTGGCCTTAGACAGTCTAGTCCACAGACCTGAAGGAAGTTTGCTTTGGAAAAGAATGGTTATCATCTTCGAAAAAAAGAAAAAAGAAAAAAAGTGGGGGTGCAGAATTTATATAAAAAGGAATGTTATATGGAAAATTCTTGTCCTGAAATAAATTAACTAGTTGTTTAAGGAAAGGGATGTTTCCAATAAGTCAGAAAGTTGAGACATGTCGAAGAATTGTCTGTGAAAATCATGAAAAAAAGTGTTAGAAAAAGAAATTTATGCAAGAAATGTTGTATAATTTAAATTAATTATCCTCCTGAATGTAAAACTGTTGAAGAAACAGTTTATGTGCAAGGTATATAAGGAAAGTAAAATATGCCTTTGGTAAAAGGATTATAAGGAAGCATAAGAATGTGGATTTTTACCTACATTAAAAGGTTACAAAAATTGTTTTGAAGGTTTAAGCAAGTTTTGAAACATTAATTGTAAAGAAAATTCTGTGTGTAAACATATTGGCTAAAGTTAAAGGGGTATCATCCAGTTTTTCTGTGAACTGGACATTAAAATAAAAACACAACAGATTTTTCTTAAAGCGCTAACCTGCTCTTTGACAAAAATTATAAAAGGTTAAAAAAGTCTATAAAAGGTCAGACATTAAAAATTGAATAAATATGTCTACAAAGTTTTATTAAAACTGTTTAACATTAATAACACTAATATAAAGGTGAAATCTAGCTTATGTGGTATAAACATACAGGAAGCATTGTCAAATATAAAATGGTGTTTGGCTTTCTTCGGTCTAAATGTTGTGCCCGAGCCAGTTAGAAAAACGCCACACTTTGAGATGAACTAAGAGTCCTTTATTAGCCGGCAACCGAGACACGGCTAACGCTCAAAATTCTCTCGGCCCCGAGGGAAGGGCTTGATTAACTTTAATATCTTGGTTTAGGAAGGGGGGGGCGTCTAGTTAAAACAATTTTACAGAAGTTAAGTAGTCAAAAAGTTAAAAGGATAAATGGTTACAGGAAAGTAAACAGTTCCAGGTGCAGGGGCTTTAAGACTATTACAAGGTGATAGACGCGGGGCTTTGGGCGTTATCAATCAGACGAATTCTTGGGGACTGCGGATATAGCTTGCCACAGTATCTTATCAGTTAATTGCATTCTTGGATGTGCTGGGGAGTCAGCTTGCACAAGTTAAGTCCTTGAGGAAGGGTCTGCCAGTGAAAGAGCCAAGATGGAGTTTGTCTGGTTCTCTTAGCTAAGGGAGAAACAAGGCCAGGTGAATAAGGAAAAAACAAGGTTGGGCATTACATAAAAACTAATAAAAATAGGTGCTAAAGGAAATTTCTCAGTAAGAAGGCACCAAGGACTATAAAGTCCACTGCTGATGTCCCCACATTTAAAATAAAAGGTCCATTTCTTAAAAATTATATACTTGATTTATCTCCCACTTTCCTTTCCCTCAAAACTAAAAGTCTTTTAGCACATGTACCACCCCGAGAATTTCCGGTAAACCAGCACCAGCCTGAAGATCATGTTCTCATCAAAGGGTGGAAAGAAGGAAAACTCGAGCTGTATAAACATGTGGCTGCTGGGCCATTGCATGGTCTCTGTTGATGAGGTTCTGAATTTTTAATTGTATATATTTAAATTTATTTAACCATGAAGAGGCACATATATGACTGAGAACCACACTAGACGGGACAGCTCCAGAGATCCAGAAATGAGGAAGACAAGACTCCCCTATCCTGGTGTTTTTTTTTTTGCAGAATCGTTTGCTGCTCTGATCCTAGCATACATTTAAGGTTACTTCCTGGGCATCTGCATAAGAGCCAGTCACTGTGTGGGGCTGGGGATATGACCATGAGGACAATATCCAGGTCCAGAGGGATTCCAGCAGGGGGCGCTCTTGCACCCAGTGGAAGAGCATGGCCCTGCACACCCTGTCTAGACAAGATCACGGCGGCAGGAGCAGAGAGGTAGGGGCAACTCGCTGTCCTCAGGAGCTCACCCTCATCTCCAGGGACCCTGAATCATAAGCTGGGCAGGCTCCAGGATGAGTGTGGGGCTCAATAGGCTGGACAGGCTGTGAAGAAAACCTTTCCACACCTGCACTAGATCCCAGCCCAGGGGTGATCTAGAACTCATCCCTGGGGTGTGTTCATTAAAACATTCATGGGGCCTAACGTGTCTTCCCCAGGACTGAGCTCTGGGATAAGAACAAATGAGGAAGAGACAGTCACTGCCCTGGCAGCAAACACCCATGGCCAGGGTTCCTCTATCCATCTGTGGGAAGACCCCAAGTTTGATACTGAAGATGTTAAACCATCTCCAAAGTAAGTGGAAACTGAGGTGTTGCGGATTCGATGACCTGGACCCTAGGGTCAGTCCCCACCCCTTTGCTGAGCTCACCCTGCACTGGAACTCGTGTCCCTCCCCACTTCCCCTGCTACTCGGGAGCGCTGCCACTGCCCTGGCCAAGAACTGGGGCGTACGTCTAGTTGAAACATATTTCTGGGCCAGACAACCATTGGCCAACAGTGTCTACTGAAGGACCGTTCCCCAGGTGACTTCCAGAAGAGGTGAAAAATGAAAACTTATCTGTCACAGCCCCAGGAAGATCAGGTCTGGGACCTCTCTGTGTCTGGCCTGACCCTGAAGTCCATCCCTACTGACTCGTGTCCTGTCTGCTCTGTGTCAGAAAAGTGGGGACCTGATTCCTGTTCTGCCCCTCTCACCAATTTCTGCTGGTGTCATTGCCATCATCACACAAAGAGATGGGGAAGACATGGTACAATAAGGAAGCTGCTTTCTCGAAGCACTTAGGATGATGTTCACAGCATACTCTCGGCAGACAGGAAGGCCAGGTCCTGCTCACTCCGACTCAGAAGGGGTCTCATATCCTGCCTGGGCCCCGGTGATGATGTTGAACTGATGCCCCTAACCTTGCAACCTTGAGCTTCTCTTCCAACAATGTCCCAATATCCTCATTTTTTTTCCTTCTGATCCTCTAAATCATGTTCCCCTTCAGGTCTAGCATGAGGCTCTCTCTCGCTCTCTCCCATGGAGCCCACTGGGCAGCTGTCCATGAATTCTAAGAACCTCAATGTTGGTAACACTGATATTTTCCTTGAATCATACATAGCAGGGCCCCTGAAGCACCATGGGGAATCTATTCTCTAGAGATGAAAGATGTCTAGGGCAATCTGGTCATGAGAAAATCACTTCTCGGGTGAACAAGTGACATTGCCAAATCAAACAGTTTCATTGTTCTGTTTTGTTCATGGAAAGATACTGACACATACAGGACAATCAAATTCTACTGAAAAGCAATGTATTTCCATAGAATGCCTGCTCCAAAAGAAACCTCAAATCATCATGTGGTCCACTTTATTCACATTCATCATGACTTAAAGCAACTACCTTGGCTTTCTGCGCGTGAAGGTTTTCAGAAGCAAACAAAAACCTATTTCAACAGTAGCATCAACAGGGCATGATGGAGATTCTCCTGTCCCAGTGTTGAGTTTGTCTTCCCCAACCTTGTGAAGCTTGACCTACCCTTTATCCTCCTAGGAAGGAAGCCAAGAGCTCAGCCTGATGCTCAGTCCCTCAAGCAAACCTGTTGTACCCTTTGCATTTTACAGGATTTCCTGAGCAGAGCACACAGAAACTATGACTAGGCTAAGTGAAGAGAGACTGAGTTTCCACATAAACATGGCATTTCCTATCTCTAGTAACATTATCTGAAGATATCTAACATTTGTTAGATGTCATTAGCTTTTTCCTTCCCAGCTTCCTACCACAACTGAGTGTCACATGTGGCTGGGCCAGGGTCTAACTTCAGAGGAACAAGCCCTGCCCCACTCTCTATGCTAAAGATGGCTTGTGGAGGATGAACTCTGAGGCCTTTCCTAGAAAAGGTGGGTGAAGGAGAGAGGTGGCAGGAGTAAAGTATACAGATGAGTCAAATGCTGTGAGGAATAGAAAGGCTAAGCAAGAGGTGACATTTCTTATTTATGTCTTAAATGAAGTTGTTACTGTGTCTTTTTGTATTAACCTATTCTTTAGGTGACTATTTCACATTGACTATGTTCCCCTAGTTGGAAAGCCAAGGCTCGGTCATCATTTCTTTCCACCCCTCTCTGCCTTCCTTCCTTCACCACCAAGGAGGATGGCTCAGCAGCAGCTCAGTCCCTGCTTGTCAACCACCGACCTCCATACACTCCAGCCCCGGTCCACATCCCCCAAGGCTCCTCGTGGGATTCCTAAGCAGCACCAGTGCACTGACTGTCACTCTACTCATTTATTGAAAGAACAGTAGGCAAAATAATTGTATTATATCTTTACTAATCCTTTGTTACAAAGACAAGTAAATAAAAAAAGCCCTTAAAATGCTGCATTTCCCTATTATTTAGAGATAGTGAGTGCTAACCCTGTGATAGTTCTCTTTCTGGTCTTCCCTTTCTTTACACTGTCTGTGCGTCCATTGAGTCGGTGGCTGTTCATGTTCCCACCAGCCCCCGGCAGTGAAACGTCCATCATGGGGGTCAGCACATGGTGAGTGCTGAGCCTCACTACTCTAGCTATGCAGGAGGTCTCCAGTGAGGGTGATGGGTGCCAGGCTAACAACAATGTTGTCCTCTGCATTCTGATGTGGCACTGGCCCTTGTCTGTCTCCTATAGATTGGAGCATTTCTGAGGCTTGAGGTGGTCATGTTATTAAATACAATACAATTATCTTCCTGATTTTCCCCTGCTTTGACCAAGTGCTGAGGAATGACCCCAGCTCTAACAGATGCTGATGTGTACTGTTCTATGTGGTATCTTACCCTTCTCCGAATCTGTGAGCTGACCAAAAGCCTGTGGGCTTTCTATGTGTGTTTCACAGTAATGCCCATGTTAACGCCTGCTGTTCCAGTATCTTTTGCTACCCTGGGTTATGTGACCACTGAGGCCCCCTTGGATGATGGGCAATGTTTGGCATGCTTTATAGGCCATTACAGTTTCAAGTATACACATAAGTGCTGGAACTCCCTGGTGTGGGGACACCTTATCTCATGCCAGAGTGACACAGTTGAGTAACACAGAGCATCAACATTGGGACCCATTTCTGGGTTCATGTTTGCCTCTTCCATTCAGGAGGTTAAAATCTGGGTTCATTCTTTTCTGTACCCTCTCCATCCCACAATATC
This sequence comes from Homo sapiens, assembly GCF_000001405.40. NCBI lineage: Eukaryota > Metazoa > Chordata > Mammalia > Primates > Hominidae > Homo > Homo sapiens. The sequence goes on from NC_000022.11 coordinate 32,144,196, forward strand.
TAAGTAGGATATTCAACTGGCCTTCCAGTACAGCTGTGATGAGGGAGGAAAGAGGTGATTTATGTGAAGTGTATGGTGGTGGTGGGATTTTTTCTTCCTTTCTATTAGACGAATGACATGACTCGGGAGGCCGAGGTGAGAAGATCACTATAGGCCAGGAATTCAAAAACAGTCACACTTGTACTGTGTTGTGCATGTGGGTCCACATTTTCTGGGGGAAACACACATTGACAAACACACTCATAATCACTACATATTAACTCACTACTAGTTACCTCCCAGCCCTTTTGCACACAAACCCACACCATCTAAATGATATGGCTGTTTCCAGGGACCCTAGCAGATGATCACAGTTCTTCAGTGAGCCATCTGTTTCTCACAACGTACCCCAGGTCCTCACACCTATCAGGAACCTGAAGCCAGGGAGGTTCTCCAGACAAAAGCAGGCAAGAGAATCTTCCCTGACTCATCACTTAGATTTGTCATTAGGAAGGGAGCAGTATTAGAATATGTACAATGTTAGAGAGGGGAGCAATACACAGTGGGGCTCTCGGGGGCTGAAGCAGGAGGGAGGGCATCGGGATAAGTAGCTAATGTATGCAGGGCTTAATAGCTAGGTGATGGGTTGACAGGTGCAGCAAACCACCATGCCACACTTTTACCTATGTAACAAACCTGCACATCCTGCGCATGTATCTCTGAACTTAAAGTAGAAATTAAATTTAAAAAAAAGGAAATTGCCAGAGTAGGCAAATCTAGAAAAACAGGAAGTAGATGAGTGGCTGCCTAGGGCCAGGGATATGCGGGTTGGGGAAAAGAGAGAAGTGACTACTAATGGCTGTGGGGTTTCTTTGAAGGGGGAATGAAAAGATTCTAAAATTAGATTCTAACAATGATTGCACAACCTTGTAAATGTGAAAACACTGAATCACCCACATTAAATAGGTAAATTGTTTTGCATGTCAACTATGTCTCAATAAAGCTGTTTTTTAAAAAATATACTTACCTGGCCAGGCAGAGTGGCTCACAACTGTAATGCCAGCACTTTTGGAGGCTGAGGCGGGCAATCACAAGGTCAGGAGATCGTGACCATCCTGGCTAACATGATGAAACCCCATCTCTACTAAAAAAATAAATAATACAAAAAACTAGCCAGGCGTGGTGGCGGGTGCCTGTGGTCCCAGCTACTCGGGAGGCTGAGGCAGGAGAATGGCGTGAACCCGGGAGGCAGAGCTTGCAGTTGCGCCGCTGCACTCCAGCCTAGGGGACAGAATGAGACTCCGCCTCAAAGAAAACAAATATCTATATATAATATATTATATTATATAATGATATATAATATAATTTATTATATTATATAATGATATATAATATAATTTATTATATTATATAATGATATATTATATAATTTATTATATTATATAATGATATATAATTTATTATATTATATAATGATATATAATTTATTATATAATGATATATAATTTGTTATATTATATAATGATATATAATTTATTATATTATATAATGATATATAATTTATTATATTATATAATATATTGGCCAATATAATATATTATGCCAATATAATATATTAATATAACTATATATTATATATTATATTATATAATATATTAACTATATAATTATATATATAAAATATATATTTTATATAATATATAATATATGTTTTACATAATATATATTATATGTTTTATATAATATATAATATATATTATATATAATTATATAACTATATAACTATATAATATATATTATATATTATCTTATATATTAGATAATAAATAAGATAATATATATTAGATAATATATTAGATAATATATAAGATATATATTAGATAATATAATATATTATCATATATATAATATAATACAATATAATATATTATATATTATATAATATATAATATAATATAATATAATATAATATATATTATATTATATTATATAACATATATATTATTATATAATATAATATATTATATATTATTATATTATATATTATTATATAACATATAATATATTATATAATATATAATAATATATAATATATATTATATTATTAATATTATATATTATATAATATAATATATATAATATAATATATATGTTATATATATTATATATAATTAATATATAATAATATATAATATAATATAATATATAATATATTATATATTATATATTTATTATTTATATATCAAATATATTTTTATATATTTGATATATAAATATATATTTATTTATTATTTATATATAAATATATATAATATATAATATATAATTATATTATATATAATTATATATATGATTATATATAATATATAATATATGTTATATATTATATAGTTATATATAACTATATATAATCTATAGTATATAATATATATATTATATATAGTATATAATATAGATTATATATATAATATATAATATAATCTATATTATATATTATATATATTTATATGTATATATTATATATATTTATATGTATATATTATATATATTTATATATTATATATATTTATATGTATATATTATATATATATTTATATATTATATATATATATTTATATATTGTTGCGGGAAGTCAGGGACCCCAAACGGAGGGACCGGCTGAAGCCATGACACAAGAATGTGGATTGTGAAGATTTTATGGACATTTATTAGTTCCCCAAATTAATACTTTTTTAATCTTATGCCTGTCTTTACTGCAATCTCTAAACATAAATTGTAAAGATTTCATGGACACTTATCACTTCCCCCATCAATACCCTTGTGATTTCCTATGCTTGTCTTTACTTTAATCTCTTAATCTTGTCAGTCGAGGAGGATGTATTTCGCCTCAGGGCTATGTGATAATTGCATTAACTGCACAAATTGTACAGCGTGTGTGTTTGAGCAATATGAAATCTGAGCACTTTGAAAAAAGAACAGGATAACAGCAATTGTTCAGGGAATAAGAGAGGTAACCTTAAACTCTGACCACCGGTGAGCCGGGCAGAACAGAGCCATATTTGTCTTCTTTCAAAAGCAAATGGGAGAAATATCGCTGAATTCTTTTTCTCAGCATGGAACATCCCTGAGAAAGAGAATGCGCACCTGGGTGTAGGTCTCTGAACTGCCCCCCCCACTGGGGCGTACCTGTCTCTTATGGTCAAGGCTGCAGAGATAAATAAACTCCAGTCTCCCATAGCGCTCCCAGGCTTATTAGGAAGAGGAAATTCCCGCCTAATAAATTTTGGTCAGACCGGTTGATCTCAAAACCCTGTCTCCTGATAAGATGTTATCAATGACAATGGTGCCTGAAACTTCATTAGCAATTTTAATTTCGCCTCCGTCCTGTGGTCCTGTGATCTCACCCTGCCTCCACTTGCCTTGCGATATTCTATTACCCTGTTAATTACTTGATGTCTGTCACCCACACCTATTTGCACACTCCCTCCCCTTTTGAAAATCCCTAATAAAAACTTGCTGGTTTTTGTGGCTTGTGGGGCATCACGGATCCTACCAATGTGTGATGTCTCCCCCGGACACCCAGTGTTAAAATTTCTCTCTTTTGTACTCTGTCCCTTTATTTCTCAAGCCAGCTGACGCTTAGGAAAAATAGAAAAGAATCTACGTGATTATCAGGGCAGGTCCCCCAATAATATATTATATGTATTTAGTATATATATATATATATATTTTTTTTTTTTTTTTTTTTCTTTAGAGGCAGTCTCGCTCTGTCGCCCAGGCTGGAGTGCAGTGGCGCAATCTTGGCTCACTGCAACCTCCACCTCCCGGGTTGATGCCTTTCTCCTGCCTCAGCCTCCCGAGTAGCTGGGACCACAGGTGCCCGCCACCACACCCGGCTAATTTTCTGTATTTTTAGTAGAGATGAAGTTTCACCGTGTTAGCTAGGATGGTCTCGATCTCCTGACCTTGTGACCTGCCCGCCTCTGCCTCCCAAAGTACTGGGATTACAGGCATGAGCTACTGTGCCTGGCCCACCGTAAGTGTGTGTGTGTGTGTGTGTGTGTACATATATATATATATATATATATATATATATATATATATATATATGTAATATATATGGCTGGGCACGGTGGCTCACGCCTGTAATCCCAGCACTTTGGGAGGCTGAGGTAGGGGGATCACTTGAGATCAGGAGTTCGAGACCAGCCTGGCCAACATGGTGAAACCCCATCTCTACTAAAAATACAAAATACTAAACATACGAAAATAGCCTCATTTATAACACAAACCCCCAATATATTATGTTACCCATGTCTCACCATGATTTCAAACACCTTTCAGATTTATTTTCAGTTCCTGATTTCTACCACTCAGACTGGGCTGGAGGAACTCTAAGAAACAGACTTCCTGCTGACCCTCCTGCGCCGACTTCTAGGCATGTCTTTGGTCCAAATGTGGGCTCCTCTTCCTCCCTCATGCAAATGAACTCTTAAAGATTAGTCCACCAAGTCTTCTAGAGAGGTCTACACAAGTCTGAATTTTAAGGTAAAAGTGGCTGAGATTTAAGTTGAGAGTCAGTGTGGCAGATTCCTGGCTCTTAAAGGTTTTTACTTTGAAGAAGATAAAATGCACGAATCCTACTAGGGCAGAAAGAGTTCACAATAGATGTTTTGGTGACAAAGCACTTGTTCTACATAGCCCAAGGGTAAATGCCAATACCTATTCAGAATGGAGCAGGGAAATTGAAAATAAATTTGAACCCTTCTAATGTAAAGCTTCTGTTTCATATCCTGGCTCTTAGCAGCTGAGTGACCTTGGGCAAGTAATATAACATTTCTGAGCCTTTATTTTCTCACCCTAAAATGGAGATAACATCAATATTGTCTCCATCACTCCGAAACCCCCTTACAGTTTGGTAAGAATTACATGAGATAAAATATGTAACTAGCACAGTACTAGCACAAAATAAGGAGTCAGTTAATATTAGTTCTTCTTCCTCCACCAGCTCAGCTCCTTTGCTCTTCCTTATCCAGGAAATACAGAAATATATGGATTCACTGTAGAAGCTGGACCCAGCTCTTCAGATGCAGCAGATGGATTGACCCACTCTGTAATGACCCAGGATGGGGCGGGTGTTCTTCTGCATGGTGACTGAGAATGTGAGCCTCAGAATGAAATGTAAGAACACCAGGCTGCAAGAGGACTGGCTGCAGCCACAAACTGCAGGTCACTGTTCACAGGTGCTCAGTAGGAAGAGAGAGAGGCTTGTGATTTTTTTTTCACCCAGATGGAAATATGCATTCATAAAATGATTTGAGCTGGGCGTGATGGCAGGCGTCTGTAATCCCAGCTACTTGGAACACTAAAGCCGGAGAAGTCCTAGAACCTGGCTGCTGATGGGTTCATTGAGCCGAGACCGTGCCATCTTAACCCAGCCTAGGGGAAAAGAACAAGACTTCATCTCAAAAAAAAAATATATATATATATATATCTACATATATGTATATCTACATATCTATATCTATATCTATATCTACATATATATCTATATATATCTAGATATATATATACTTACAGAGGTAATCTTCATATCTCTCCTTTGCCTGCAATAGGAGAAAGGAAAACGCCATGAGGATCGGATCATGCTGGGCCCTGTTGGCACAGGTCTATTATTCACTTGGTGACGTAGAAAACAACATGTCAAACAGTGATCAAGTCACTGGCCCCCCGAATGAAGCATAGACGATGTGTGTGGAAAAGGCAATGGGTTTTCATGGAATATTTAGTAAGTCCATGTTGGCTGGCAAACACAAAATTATTTTTCAAGAAGAAAAAGTTGCTACTGAGAAATATGCTCACTACCAGATAGTTTGTAAGTGATGCGCTCATTTTTGACTACTGTCATCCAGCAGGACTCAGTTGGTCATAAACTCCAGTGACTGGTCGCTAGGGTCCATGATCCACTAAGACCTGGTGGACGATGGCAATCGAATATGATATTCCCTTGATATTCCAGCCAACAAAAAAATTGTATTTGTCTTCTATAATATACATGGTCAGATTTTTATATCTTCATTTCATTAATAAGGCAAGAGGACCCAGAAAAAACATTTCTCTTCCAGACAAAGAAATGCATCTTACCATCTCCGGTGTCATGAGGTCTTCAAGAGAGACAGATAGGCTTTCACTGAGACCTGATGTCATGAAGTCTTCAAGAGAGACAGATAGGCTTTCACTGAGATCCGATGTCATGAAGTCTTCAAGACAGACAGATAGGCTTTCACTGAGATCTTCGACCAAATCTAGGAGAACATAGTGACAGTCAGTGCATTGGTGCTGCTGAGGAATCCCACAAGGAGCCTTGGGGGATGTGGACCAGGGCTGGATCATGTGCAGGTGGGCGGTTGACAGGCATGGACTGAGCTGCTGCTGGACCATTCTCCTTGGTGCTGAAGGAAGGCAAAGGAGAAGGGCAGAAAGAAATGAAAGAGCCTTGGCTTTCTAGCTAGAGCAACTTCATCAATGTGAAATAGTCACCTTAAGAACCAGTTAATACAGAAAAGCACTGTACTATAGAAACAGGAAGTACATTCGTGGCTGCCTAGATCCAGGGGTGTGGGAGTTGGGAAAGACAGAGGAGTGACTACTAGTGGGGTTTCTTTGAGGGGGAATAAAGAGGTTCTAAGATTAGATTGTAACAATGGTTGCACAACCCTGTGAATATAGTAAAAACGCTGAATCACTTACGTTAAATGGGTGAATGTTTTGCATGTCAACTACACGTAAATAAAGCTGTTTAAAAAAAAATACGTACGGTGGTCGTGCTTGGCCTCAGATATTTCCTGCAGTAAGAGAAAAGAAAAAGAAACACCATGAGGATCAGATCTTGCTGGGTTCTGTTGGCAAAGGCCTTTTATTCACCTGGTGAAATAAAAAACCGGATGTGAAACAGTGATCAAGTCACTGGCCCCCAAATAAAGCATAGAGGATGCTTGTGGAAAATGCAGTGGGTTTTTTGGAATATTTAGCAAGTCTATGTTGGCTGGCAAATACAAAATTATTTTTCAAGGAGAAAAGGTTGCTACTGAGAAATACACTCACTACCAAACAGTTTGTAAGTGATGCCGTCCTTTGACGGCCATCGTCAATCAGGCCTCAGTTGGTCATAACCTCCAGTGACCGGTCGCTAGAGTCCATGACACTGAGGCCTGAATCATGATGGCAGTCAAAAATGATATTCATTTGATATTCTAGAAGCCTCAGAAAAAACAAAAAGCATTTCTCTTCCAGAGAAAGAAATACATCTTACAATATCTGACGTTATATTCTCCTCCACACCGCCGTGTGCAGACACCTGCACATCTTCAGTGGGACCTAGGAGAACACAGAGTGACAGTCAGTGCATTGGTGCTGCTGAGGAATCCCACAAGGAGCCCTGGGGGATGTGGACCGGGGCTGGAGTGTGTGGAGGTGGGCGGTTGACAGGCATGGACTGAGCTGCTGCTGGACCATTCTCCTTGGTGCTGAAGGAAGGCAAAGGAGAAGGGTAGAAAGAAATGAAAGAGCCTTGGCTTTCCAGCTAGGGCAACCTCATGAATGTGAAATAGTCACCCTAAGAACCGGTTAACACAGAAAGGCGCTGTACTATAGAAACAGGAAGTACATTCGTGGCTGCCTAGATCCAGGGGTGTGGGAGTTGGGAAAGACAGAGGAGTGACTACTAGTGGGGTTTCTTTGAGGGGGAATAAAGAGGTTCTAAGATTAGATTGTAAAATGGTTGCACAACCCTGTGAATATAGTAAAAACGCTGAATCACTTACGTTAAATGAGTGAATTGTTTTGCATGTCAACTACATGTAAATAAAGCTGTTTAAAAAAAAAATACGTACGGTGGTCGTGCTTGGCCTCAGGTATTTCCTGCAATAAGAGAAAAGAAAAAGAAACACCATGAGGATCAGATCATGCTGGGTTCTGTTGGCAAAGGCCTTTTATTCACTTGGTGAAATAAAAAACCGGATGTGAAACAGTGATCAAGTCACTGGCCCCCAAATAAAGCATAGAGGATGCTTGTGGAAAATGCAGTGGGTTTTTTGGAATATTTAGCAAGTCTATGTTGGCTGGCAAATACAAAATTATTTTTCAAGGAGAAAAGGTTGCTACTGAGAAATACACTCACTACCAAACAGTTTGTAAGTGATGCCGTCCTTTGACGGCCATCGTCAATCAGGCCTCAGTTGGTCATAACCTCCAGTGACCGGTCTCTAGAGTCCATGACACTGAGGCCTGAATCATGATGGCAGTCAAAAATGATACTCACTTGATATTCTAGAAGCCCCAGAAAAAACAAAAAGCATTTCTCTTCCAGAGAAAGAAATACATCTTACAATATCTGATGTCATATTCTCCTCCACACCGCCGTGTGCAGACGCCTGCACATCTTCAGTGGGACCTAGGAGAACACAGAGTGACAGTCAGTGCATTGGTGCTGCTGAGGAATCCCACAAGGAGCCCTGGGGGATGTGGACCGGGGCTGGAGTATGTGGAGGTGGGCGGTTGACAGGCATGGACTGAGCTGCTGCTGGACCATTCTCCTTGGTGTTGAGGGAAGGCAAAGGAGAGGGGCAGAAAGAAATGAAAGAGCCTTGGCTTTCCAGCTAGGGCAACCTCATCAATGTCACCTTAAGAACAGTTTAATACAGAAAGGCACTGTATGGTTCAGCGACAGCATCTCATCACACCTCCTCCCCATTTGAAGGTCCAGGCAAATCCCCAATTTTATGAAATGTTACAAGATCATTTAACTTCTGTGGATCTACATATCCTGCCACTACATTGATCATCTACCCTGTTGTGTTCTTCAAATTGTAGTGAAGCATACATATTTATCATTTTAATTATTAAGTGTGCATTTTAATGAGATTACATTCAATGAGTTACATTCAGGGTGCTGTGTCAATAATGAGAAATATCTAAATTCATAATCTAAGCTTCAACTTGGGCAATGAGAGAAAGACAGCAGTGTAATATAGAACAGAGGAAAAATAAATAATGATTGCAGAATACAATGGAATAGAAAACAGGAAATCCTCAGAGAAAATCAACAAAACCAAAAACCAGTTCTTTGAAAAGATCAGTAATGTTGATAAACCTCTACCTTGGCTACCCACAAAGGAAAGAAAGAAGTCACAGTGTACTAATAATATCTGTTTAAGAAGAGTCAAATCAAAAAATAGTAAATAATAAAGGAATATCCTGAACACATCTGTGCTCACAATTGGATACAGTAGATGAAATGAGCTAACTGTTAAAATCTATTTTAGAAGACCAAAACTCAGGAGAAATAGATCATCTGAATAGGCCTATATTTATTTTAGAAATTGAATCAATGATTAATATCTTTTCAAAAAACTAAAACACTATATTCAGATGATTTCACTGGTAAATTCTACCGAAATTCTTACAAAGAAAAATGTAGTCTTACCATACAAGCAAGTAATCATAATCCTAAGTATTTCCTCAGTTACATTTTAAAAATTGTGTTTCCAAACAAGACACAGGAAGGTTTATAATAGCTGTATTCATAATTGACCAAACTGAAAGCAAATGTCTAAACATTTGAGATGTCCTTTACTATCAAAGTTGAACTAAGCCTGGGCAACATGGTGAAATCCCATCTCTACAAAAAAAAAAAAAAAAATTAGCTTGGTATAGTGGCACGTGCCTTATGGCCAGCTACTTGGGAGGCTGAGGTGGAAGGATCCCCTGAACCTGGGGAGGTCAAGATCGCAGTGAGCTGTGATTGCACCAATGCACTCCTGGGCGACAAATGAGACCTTTTCACACACACACACACACACACACACAAAAGAACAACTCTAACTTGTCAATATTACTTTACTTGTGTAGTTGTATCATCTACCATTGATTTAATGCATTTAAATTGGCACAAATGAAATAAATGAAGAACATGACATAGCATTTACTGAGTTTCTCTAATATGGAGCACTGAATGAATAAACTGGAATTGTTTGCTTAAATGAACTTAATGATTTAATTTCCACATTACCTATATTTTCTAGAGGCCAAATCCCGTGCCGTCTCCATATTATTTTTAACCAGCGCTTGGAGCGGGCGTCCAAACCTGCAAGGTAGAGCAGACTTCTTATAGATTCTAGGAAATGTATTATAATAAAGACAGTGCTTGACATGTTGCTGGCAGAGGATAGCAGAGAAATTAGTAAAAACTTATTCACAGATGAAAGTTTTGATCCCGGTTTGCACCGTCTGCTTTTCAACTCTACCTGAATTAGATTTGGGTTCTTGGAAGATTTTGCAAGGTTCGTTGCATTTAAAACAGACTGTTTGTGCAGGCAGATACCTTTATTTAGATGAGACAATATAGAAAAGCAGCAGATCCAAGTCACCAAGAATGGCCTGGGTTCAAATCCTACTTAGAATCTGCACATACCTGGGAGAGTGAAATGAACCCCTCTGTGCCTCAGTTCCCTATTCTGAGATGTGGGAATGTTAGTAGATCTCTGCTATAGACCTACTAAGATCTATAGGGCTAAAAAGGATGAGATACAGATAAAGGCTTAAGAAGACTCATGCTTTGTAAATGCCCAACAGTGTTCAATCATTCAATGTCTGGGAGAATAATCCAGATACTTGGTAGTGGTTGAATACAGAGAGGGAGCGTGTATGGCTCCCGGGCAGGGGAGGGTGGAAGGTGACTTCACTGTTTCCATGGGCATGATGCTTTCCAGCTCATGAAAAAGATCTGTCATTTCCTTGATCCCCACATTAGCCCTGAGGGACAGGCAGAGCAGGGGCTACAACCCGTATTTTCCAATTCAATGAATTAAAACTTAGACGTTTTGAGTGACTTGCCCAGAGTTACCACAGTGAGGCATGAAGATCTGGGACAAGAATGTAGTTGGTTCCCTGGGGACAGAGATCCCAGAACATCTGAGTCCTCTAGATCATGCCCTGGACCCTGAACTGAGAGCTCTTCTCACAAGCTTTGTCAAATCCTGCTGCCCCAATATTTCTTTGGGATGGTTGATGCCCTGGAGAGATGGCAGGTGGCTTACTGCATTTACTCACCTGGTCTATTATCCCTGCATTTTCACTTTGATTAGCTTTATGACCCATAAGACAAACATTTAAAGTCTCTCAGTTATGATGCACAGTCTGGGATTTTACCTAAATCCACTCTATTTTGGGTGATTTTACCTAAATCTCCCATCAGGTGATTCTCATCTGCTGGCCTGGAGGTGGCCTGCCATGTAAGAGGACACACAGCATACCATGGAGCTGCTGCGTGCCCCAGTCCTGTGCACACTCACGCCTTGCTTCTGCTTCCCCTGCTCCGACAATCCTAATTCTGGCTTCCAAAGCAATCCTGTACTTCCCTCTCAGTTCTCAGACTTGCCTAAACTGTTTAACGTTTTAATCAATGTTGTGACCATGACTGAGCTGTGACATTTGATATATCATAGTATATTTTTATCCATTTATAGATTTGTTAATAGCATTTAACTTCATTTTTCAGAGTTTTAGGAACATTTCTGGGCTAGGTGTCCTGGCACATGGCTGTAGTCCTGACATTTTTGGAGGCTAAGGCAGGAGGATTGCTTGAGGTCAGAAGTTTGAGACCAGCCTGGGCAACATAGCGAGACCTCTTCTTTACAAAAAATGTTTTAAAAATTAGCCAGATGTGGTAGTGAGCTCTTGTTTACCTAGGTATGTGGAAGACTGACGTGGGAGGATCGTTTGTGCCAAGGAGTTTGAGGCTGCAGTGAGCTATGATCAGGCCACTGCACTCCAGCCTGGGTGATAAAGCAAGACCCTGTCTCTTAAAAAGAAAAAGCATTACTGAGTTACAAGTATCTCCATTTTATTTCTCATTATCTAATGTTACTGTTTTAATCCTGAGGCTTAACTACTTTAATAAACTAAAGGAAATTTTTTTTAAAAGAGGTAGTATCCAAAGCAGCTCATATGTACCTTTTAATAAATTCTAGTTTTATATGCCATGTCTAGAATTTACATTCTTGATCTGACATTTATTTTTTCAAACCTTGAAAAACTCACTTTATACTTCTTAGAACCAGCCTTCTCATATGTGACACAAGGAAAATTCCCATATTACACCTAACTTAAAACATTGAGAGGATCAAATAAAATGCAAGAGCAGTCTATTTACTACATAATGCACAATCAATTACAAAGCAAAGCTTCTGAGTGAAAAGTAAACAGTTAACATCCTTTGGAAAACCCATAGCAAAATAACATTTTGAGAAAACACGCACTTTGGCTACCCACTGAAGTTAAGGAGAAAACAGTCACAGGTCAGCATCAAGAATTCCCCAGCGTTGTTTTTTTGTTTGTTTTAATAATCACACATTATTCCCCCTGCTTTCTTTCATGTATGTTACCGCATGTTCTCCCTTTTTGCTTTTCTGTGTAACCTATCTTGGGAATCACTCCATAGCAGTAAAATGACATCTTACCCTTGTTTACAGCTCCATAGTTCTCCTTTAGGTGGAAGTACCAGTTAATTTTACTAGTCCCTTACTAGACATTTCAGTTATTTCCAATATTGAGCTATTGAAAATAATGCAACAAGGACTTTGTGCATAGGTTGTTTCATATTTATGGAGTATACCCTCGAGATAAAATGCCTCAAAGTAGGATTTCTGGCTTAAATGCATTTGCAATTGTGACAAATTCCCCTTCGTGGAGTCGAGCCATTTTGCATTTCCACCAGCAATATATGCATGCAACTTTCCTTACAGCCAAACCAAAGAATGTATTGCCACGTTTTTGGAATTCCACTCAGTAGGAGAGACACTGCAGTATAGTTGTCATTTGCCTTTCTCTTATGTGTGAAGATGTGTTTAAGGATCGTTTGCATTTCTTTTTCTGTGACTTCTCTATTTATCACTTTATTACCTACTTTTAGGATCACTTGACTCTAGAGATTCTCAAGTCAGCCTATTTCAGGTCATGATCGTCTGTCTGTTCACTGTTGACTCTCACCTGCACTTCGCCACCAGCCTCCTAGCTGGTCTCCCTGCTTCCACCCTTGCCTGCATTACAGGACATTCTCACACAGCCGCTGGTCAGTCTTCTTCTTGGAGGATTAACAGTAATCCCCAGGCTGTAATCCTCCAGTGGTTTCCCATCTCAACTAAAGTCCATATTCTTTGTCAATGCTCACTACGTGTACAAGGCCTTAGCCCATCATATTCATTTCACTCTGCTGCAGCCACCTTTGTGTCTTTCTGTCCTTTTCCCAAAACAAGTTTGTTCCCATTTCAGGAATTCCAAAGAAGAAATTCCTCTCTGGAAGCCCTCTCCCATCATCCTCACAAGGCTCCGCCTCACTTTTCAATTTATTTTAAAAAACAAATAAGATGGGATCTCTATGTCTATGAAGGTGGGGACCTTCCGTCTTATTTCAAAAAGAAAGGGACATAACAAGAACCAAGAGGCAAAAAACAGTCGTGAGAGTGTAGTCAGAGCTCCTCCTTCCACTACCAGCTACTGAAGGCTGCTGGCCCTGCCCAATGGCTAGTACCCACAAAGCCTCCTATGTCACCTGGTTACCAGGAAACAACCAAGTCAGGCTAGTGGCTCACAATGGCCGACCCCACAGACCCACCCAATGGCTCACACCTCCCTGCTGCTGCCCACCTTGTGGCCACCCTGTCCCTCTGTGGTGACTGCACTATTCGTCCTGGGCTGCCTGAGCTTTCCAGTCCTGAGAAAAGTGCAGGGGGGCGGGGGTTGTTATTGGAAGTCACCCTGGGCAATGAAATCAATAGAAAACCCTGGTTACTAAAGTCAGTTCCATTAGCATCTCTGTTTTTCTGAGTCTGGCAGCTTTCGTTTGCTCACCAAATGTAGTTATACACAAATTTCGGACTGCTTTGTAAGTAAATGCTTCTCTCCTGTCTTACAAGTGTTAGTTTTTGTCTTCAACTTGACCACAGCAACTCCTAGAGCCCTGGTCCCACTCTCGATAAAGCGTGATGACTGCGACTTGAATGAAACCCTAGGACACATCACACTTTCCCTTCCTTGTCTACAATATAGGGACTACACTGTAGTAGGGCTGAAGAGACACTCATGTCAAATTGGGAATTTTAAAGTAATCAGAGCTCCATGACTAAACTCTTTGGGTAAAACCAACACAAAAGCAATTTCTTTACAGCTCTGGCACTAACATTTCATACCTTTTGCAGTCATTTGAAGCATGTCCCCCAATTTTTTTTCCTTCTTTCTTCAAATTACAATTGGAAGAAGTAAAGCAGCTTCTGTCAATGTGACTTAAAACCATCTATTAAGAATACCATATAATCTCTTCCATGGCAAACTCTATTTTGAATTTAAGAAGTCTCCACATATTTGAGTCTAAATTATCCCAATTATTAGCTACCTTAAGGAATGGGAGAAAAGAAACAATTGGGCCCTTAACTGGCTCCTTCACTTAGGTACCAGACCAGCTGGATGGGTAAGGATAGAGAATGGGATGGGGACTCCAAAACTGGAGTATTTGAAATTTTACTGAGAAAAGGGCCGGGACTAGACCAAAAAGTCCTCAACAAAGAAGGCTCAACAACAAAGACAAGAGGCAGAACCAGCCTTTGTCCCCCATGCCTAGCCCTGGGAAAGCCGGCTATGGGCAGGAGGGAGCTGGAAGCTGAGGATGTCTCTGAGGGTGAGGGACTGCAAAGGGGTGGGGGCGGTGGTGGCCAGAGAGATGCCAGAGAGCAAATGGCACCCATGGCTTCTTTACCTTTGGACATCTTCAGCATCTTCGGCGTCTTCGGGAGGCTGAGGTACTGCATGAGTTGGGCCTTCTTAGCTTTCAAATCCAATTTGGCAGGCTTTGCAGTGGTGGATGCTGGTGCTGTGGCTGCCACAGTCTCAGGAATCTCACACTCATGGCAGGGTCCCACATCTGGCCTGCAGCAGTCACAGTTGAGGCCCCCGCTGGGGCCCAGGCAGCAAGTCAGTTTGCTCCCCATTGGGCACCTAAACACACAAAAAAGTCCAAGAGGCACAAGGACAGAATGTAGTCGGAGCTCCTCCTCCTTCTACGGCCAGCTACCGACTGAAGGCTGCTGGCCCTGGCCGTTGCCTAGTAACCACAAAACCTCCTATGTCACCTGGTTGCCAGGAAACAACCAAGTCAGGCTAGTGGCTCACAATGGCCGACCCCACAGACCCACCAAATGCCTCACAATGCCCATCCCTGCTGCTGCCCACCTTGTGGCCACCCTGTCCCTCTGTGGTGACTGCATTATTCATCCTGGGCTGCCTGAGCTTTCCAGTCCTGAGAAAAGTGCAGGGGTTGGAGGTTGTTATTGGAAGTCACCCTGGGCAATGAACTCAATAGAAAACCCTGGTTACTAAAGTCAGTTCCATTAGCATCTCTGTTTTTCTGAGTCTGGCAGCTTTCGTTTGCTCACCAAATGTAGTTATACACAAATTTCGGACTGCTTTGTAAGTAAATGCTTCTCTCCTGTCTTACAAGTGTTACTTTTTGTCTTCAACTTGACCACAGCAACTCCTAGAGCCCTGGTCCCACTCTCGATAAAGCGTGATGACTGCGACTTGAATGAAACCCTAGGACACATCACACTTTCCCTTCATTGTCTATAAAATAGGGACTGAACTCATCCTTCCCAGTTCTGAAATGCTAGGACCTACCAACTCTCTTTTCTCCCTCTGTTTCTTTCTTCCATGGCAGGGATATTCAGATATTTCTTTTACTAACAATGCATAAAGCACGTTTTTCTTACACAAAATTGAAAACCATATAGTGGGATACCACTGTCCTCATTTGATGAAGATGAACAGTAAATATCTGGCAAGCCTGACAGTATTCCAACAGTGGTATACTAATTTAACCCCCAGAAACCATTCCATTTTACGGATTTTGCAGAATCAATCTAGATGGAGAAGTTAAGTAGCTTCCCCAAGTTTCCATGACGGCTCAAGATGGGGCCAGAATTTAATCCTGAGTAATCTTGATCCCCACAAGCCGATCATGATTATCAGAAAGTAAAGGTAGACGTCATGCTTGGAGGGGAAGTGACCTTGTAGATTAGTATTTTTTTTAAAGAATAACAGTTTTTTGATGTGAATTTTAAAATGCCTCCCCTTCATTCAACATTAAGTCTAAGTGCCAATACTGCATGTGTGAAACAGTCCCAACCCTCAGTGAGTTCAGGCAGATGAGCAAACAAAGGCTTAGAGGGTTCAATTATCTGAGGCTACACTGCTGGACAGTGAATCAACCTGGAATGAAAATGCAGATCTATCTGACCCAAAATTAGATGCTGGGGTAGAGTTTGAATTTTATTCTGGAAACGAGAGTCACTGAACCACACAGGGGTGAGGAGTCTCTATCCGATGTGCTTGCAGTGACGTCACTCTGCGCAGTGGAGAGGGCTTTATGAAAGCAGTGGGGCTGATTAAGATACTCTATGTTCATCTGGAGAACAGTAAGGCTAAAAAGGCAGCAGCAGTGACTGAAGTGGAAGGAAAAGTTTTGTGATCATTTGGGAGATAGAACAGGAAGTGCTTGGTGATTAGACGTGGAAGAAGAGGGGAAGGAAAAACAGGCTGCTAAGGCCCTAGTTTGATGGACTGTGTAAATAGCAGTGATTCTCCCCTAGACAGAGAATGTAGGACGAGAAAGAGGTGTGGGGAATGAGACAGTTTTGAACTCTTTAAATGTCACATTGAAATGGAACCGTCTGGTTGAAAATTGGATGTAAACCTCTGTAGGCTAAGTCCATTCTGTGACATCCCAACTCATGTTTTCAAAAGTAACACACACACAGTAACTCAAACCATTAAGGAAATTTCCTAACATTTACATACTAAGAATATAATAGTTTTTTAGTGATTACTTTCTTAGGGAAACTTTGAATTTATGGTTGTAGCGAATGAGGTGTCACGTAAAATAAAACTGTTATATAAGAACAACATTTAAATTCTATTGTCATAACAGCATATAGAAAACAATTGAAGCCATGGGTAAGACCGTGACTGCTTTAAAAAGCTGTGTCTAATAAGGGGAGGGGTTGGAGAGAAAGGAGGCTTGGGGAATAGGGAAATGTATGTGGCATGAAGTAAAGCCTGCAAAAGTGAAAAGTGAGAGTCAGGGCACCTGAGTGTTCATCAGCAATGGCTGATCTGGTGAGACTCATCGGAATGGAGGTGGTGTCTGCTTCTCATTTCTGTAATGGCCTCACCTAGCACAGGGCCTGGTCAGTAGGTACTTTATACCTAATACCCCAATCAACAGAGCCATATGTTGCCAAGAAGGCAGAAAAGCCACAAATGCCATTGCCTGTGGCAACTCAGTGATTGGGGATGTGTGTGAGTAAGCTGAGTGTCAGCAGTGGGGAAAGAGTGAACTAGAAGTGAGAAAGTAAAGACATCAACTGAGGGCTTCTCCTCCTAAAAGTTTGGCTGAAAAGAGAGATGTGGGAATAGTTAAAGGGAGATATATGGTTAAGAAAGCTTTCATCCCCCCCCCCATAAAGATGAGTATACTTTTATGTTAAATGGTAAGAACCAATAAAGGAAACACATTTACAATTGGAAGAGAGGGAGAATTAATAACACATGATGCCCAAGAAGGCACAAGTTCATGCAATCCAGAGTGAGGACAGATTAGCTTCGGACTGATACAAAATCAAGAAGGGAGAAAGCACTGTGTGACTAGAGACATTTCTTCTAAAGGAGAGTTTTGCAAAAAGCTCTTTTCATGACCAGTTTCTCTCTGTTTGAATAGACTTGTCAGATAACTACTCTAGGAAAGAGGCCATTATGTATAGAGAAGTCTACACTTTAGAAAAGCTTGATACACCTTACAATCCCCAAATAATGGCTTTCCTCAACAGTGAGTAAATTGAAAAGCAATTTAAGCAAAAACCCAGAGGCTCAAATATGAATAGGTGCTTCACAAAAGTTGAAGAGGGGGCTAATTAACTCCCTCAAAGGGTTAAAAGAAAAAGCAACAACTGCGAGAAGAGTGAAAAATAAGAATAAAAGTATATGTAGTTGCAAAAAGTCTGAATGTTTACAAACCCTGTGACCACAAAAGAGACCATAAAAGGGGCCACAGGGAGTGTTATCACAGGAGGAAAACGGTTGCTTCAAAAAGCAGAGGAGTGGGGGTAATAAAGATTCCATTTAGTTGCAAAGATTTAAGTAAAGTTTGAGGACAGTTAGGTGACATGTTGAAATGTGGAAAACCAAAGTGGAAGGGGAAAAGACCCGATAAAGTTCAGTTTCAGCAACCAACATCCGATGAAATCCTCAGGACCCAGTGACTGCATTCTGCATAAATAATCATATTGGCTGAGGTCCCAGGAATGTCATTAGATACCATTTTGGATGATTCTTATGGACTTGAGGTGAGGTCCATTTTGTTACAAATCAGTGCGTGCATTTAACAACAGACATACACAAAAATACGTATCCATGACCATGAAAATCTTACTACTTTCCCTAGCTCACACTTTATCACATAATAATGAATTTCTTCTTTAAAAAAAAATAGAGAACTAATTTTGGTCAGCTTTAATATGATTCCTTGGTTGGGTGTGGTAGATCCTGCCTGTATTCCCAGCACTTTGGGAGGCTGAGACGGGCAGATCGCTTGAACCCAGGAGTTTGAGACTAGCCTGGGCAACATGGTGAAACCCTGCCTTTACAAAAAATACAAAAATTATGCTGGTGTGGTGGTGTAAACCTGTAGTCTCAGCTCCTGTGGAGACCTGAGAGAGACCCTGTCTCAAAGTAAATAAATAAATATGGGCCCTTATGACATTAGATGACTCAGACGTGGGTCTTGTTTTTGGTTCATTTATTCTCTTTTCCTCATTACTGTAAGTTGACATGTAGTAACTGTACATAGTTATGGCATACAAAGTGATATTTTGATATGTGTGTACAATGTAATAAATCAAGGAAATTAACATAACATCACCTCAAACATTTATTATTTCTTTACGTTGGGAACATTCAGAATCCTCTCTTAGGTATTTGAAAATACACAATAGAGTTAACCCAATTTATTTTACAGTGCCATGGAACACCAGAAGGCATTTCTCCCATCTAGATATAATTGTTTATTAAGTAACCAACCTCTCTACATGCTCTTCCAAGCCTCTGTACCCATAATTTTAGTCTCTGCTTCTGTGAGCTCAAAATGGTTGTTTTTTAGCTCCCACATAGGAGTGAGAACACGTGGTATTTATCTTTCTGTACCTAATTTATTTTGCTAGACAGAGACTCAGGTCTTGACCAAGAGAAATGAATAAATCTGCAGATACCAAAGGCTAAGTGATTGGTTTGTACTTAATTTATAGAATAATAGCTTTGTTTCAAATTTTAAATAACTTGAATATAATCTTACTATTTACCCTTCCTACACATGTATCACATATTAAATGTATATCTTATGTATATAGAAAGAAGAAATATTATATTTTTAATTCATATATCTATACACACAGATATATATTTTTTAAGATCTAAATTTGGTCCTATTAAAATACGACGCATGCTGGGGTAGAATGACTCCTTGGGATTCAATGTCTGAGCAAGGAAACAAGGCTTGGGAGACAGAATATTGCATGCGATTGGAATAAGTTGCATTCTGATTATAAAGGAATCATTTAGGGCTTACTTTTTGCTAGATGCAAGATGTAAAGACAGAGTCCAGTCCTGATGTATTCTCTAAGTGAGAAAATCTCTTCCATAAACAGAAACTATATCCTGATGCAAAGACAGAGTCCGTCCACGGTGACTCTGAGACAAGTGAGAAAATCTCTGCCTTAAACAGAAACGTGTTTTACACTGGACACAATGTGAAACAGCAAGGATGACTTATGAAAAGCCAGTTTCACAAGGTGATTCTATGAGCTGTTCCAGGCAAGAGGGAGAGAGCAGACAGCAAGATACATGTGTAGAAGAGCATGTGAGATCAATAAGACAGTGGTGCAGGTCAGGATGAGGCACCCTGAGCACAGAGATGCAGGCAGAGCCACTCAGACAGACCTGGGAGGGACTTGGGGCAACAGCCCAGAGAGGGCCTGGCTTCTGTGCAGCCCTTACCGTGAGAGGGGGCGGATGGGGAGGGGCAGCCCTTACGGTGAGACGGGGTGGATGGGGAGGGGCAGGTTCTTGGGTTTCTGCTCTCAAGGTGCCCACTATCAGACAGGGGGTGAGGAGCCATGATTAAGGGGTATCACATGGCAGTTATTTTGTGGTGATGAAACAGTTTTGTATCCTGACTGTGTTGATTGTTGCACAAATCTATACATGGAAGAAAGCTGCATAGCACCACAGATGCACACACACAGCGAACAAATGTGTGCCTGTAAAAACTGGTGAGAACCCAACAGGGTGTTTAGTGAACAGATTGCACCAATGTCAATTTCCTGACTCTGCTAATGCACTATAGTTATACAAAGTGTCATATTGGGGAAGCCGGGGAGGGTTCTGGGGATTCTACTTATTGTTGTTGCAACTTCCTCTGAGTCTATAATTGTTTCAAAATAAAGGTTTTTAAAAGGAGAAAAAAAAAGAAAACCTCTCCTGAGCTCTGCTTCTTCAGTGGGCAGCCTGTGTCTGGATGGAGGGGAGGGATGCGTGTGTGTGTGTGTGTGTGTGTGTGTGTTTGTGTGTGTGTGTGTTTCTGAACTGGACATCTTTTTTTTTTTTTTTTTTTAAGACAAGGTCTCATTCTATTGCCCAGGCTGGAGTGCAGTGGTGCGATCACAGCTCACTGCAGCCTCAACTTCCCTGGCTCCAGTATCCTCCCACCTCAGCCTCCTGAGTAGCCAGGACCACAGGTGTGCCACCACACCTGGCTAAATTTTGTATTTTCTGTAGAGACAGGGTTTCACCATGTTTCCCAGGTTGGTCTTGGATTTCTGAGCTCAAGCAATCCACCCGACTTGGCCTCCCAAAGTGCCAGGATTACAGGCATGAGCCAGTGCCCCCGGCCAGAACTGGGCATCTTCCTCCGGAGGAGCTGAAGTCAGAAAAATGCCCCTAATCCAGTGCGATTCCAGCCCTGGCTCTGAGATGAAGGTCCCCACAGAGCTCTTTTACTGGGATGAGGGCGAGGCAGTCAGGTCTTCTCATTTTTTATGTGATATCAAAGGTCTCCGACAGGGCGTCCAATCCAAATTCTGAGATGATGGAAATGTTCTCCGTGCTGTTCCAAAGGAGTGGAACCAGCTCCATGTCACTGTTGAGTACCTGAAATATGGGTAGTGCAGATGAAGAACTGAATTTGTCATCTTAAGTGTATGAATAAGTTGTTTAAATTCAAGTAGCTGCACGCAGCTAGTTTTTACTAAATGGGGCAGCGCAGGTCTGAGGAACCAGGGATTGAAGGAAGCTGGAAAGACCTTTCCCTGGCTTTGGGGTCTGTGGGACAGCCAGAGATGGGAACAGGCCCTAAGAGGGCCTGGTGGGGCTGGAGTTTGGAAACAGGAAAGGTGTAGGTCAGGTTTGATGGGAAACAGCTGGGATCTCTTGTCATTCGTGAGCTCTTGGTGACACATGCAACTACAGTAATAAATAATGGAATTCACTTTCTCAAAAATGCATTTCCTCTGTATGTAACCTTTACTCTTTTACAGAGACACACCCACTCTTTCTCCAACACAGGCACATACACACACCTTCTGTCACACACGCTCTGATATACACTCTCCCACTCTCTGTTCCAGTCTTTCTGTCACACTCACACCTTGTCTCCATCTCTCATCCATAGTCTGTCCCACAGCCGAAACACACACGCACAGCTAACACACATGCGCCCACAGACACGCTTTCCCTGGCCCTTGTCCTCACCCACTGACAGACAAATGTCTGCAGTTCTCTCTGCTTGTGCTGTCTGTGTCTGGCTTTGGAATCAGGGTAAAGCTAACCTCATGGGGTGGACTACGAGATGTCCTCTACTCTTGGATTTTCCGGGCTCTTGCTGCTGCATGGCTGTCATTTGGATCTGTTGATGTGCTGAAGTCCTCCAGCCACTTCCTCCTCAGTGGCATATCTTCCCATTGCATGACCTGCACAAGAGCCCCTCTGAGTCACTGTCTCCTCTTCTTCAAAGTGCAGGTAATAAGGCTGGGCATGGTGGCTCACACCTGTAATCCCAGCACTTTGGGAGGCTGAGGTGGGAGGATCCCTTGAGCCCAGGAGTTCAAGACCACCCTGGGCAACATAGTGAGTCCTCTCCTTTACAAAAAGTCAAAACATTAGCTGGTCATGGTGGCACACACCTGTGGTCCCAGCTAACACCGGGGATCAAGAGGCTGATGTGACAGGATCCTTTGAGAGCCCAGGTGGTCAAGGCTGCAATGAACCGTGATTGCACCACTGCACTCCAGCCTGGGTGGCAGAACAAGACCCTGCCTTTAAAAAAAAAATGCAGATAATAGTAGAGTCTACCTCCAGTGTTGTTCCGAGTAGCAAATGAGTTAACATTTATAAACATTTTAGAACAAAGTCAGGTGCATAAGATGCTGTACATAAATGTATATTAAATATTACTGGAGCAGCCACTTCACTGTTATCCCCATTGCCATTGTTTATAATACAGTCACGTGCCCCATAAGGATCTTTCAGTAGAGGATGGACCTCATATACAATGGTAGTTCATCCCATTATACATTATAATCTCATAAAGTTATAATGGATCTGTCCTATACAAGTGTACCTTTTTATATATTTTATACTGTATTTTTACTGTGCCTTTTTTGTTTAGATGTTTAGCTACACAAACACTGTTGTGTCACAGTTGCCTGCAGTATTCAGCACAGTCACATACTGCACAGGTCTGTAGCCCAGGAGCAATAAATAGGCTGCACCGTGTGGCCCAGGTGTGTAGTAGGCCGTCCCATCTAGGTTTGTGTAAGTGCACTCTGAGATGTTCCCACAATGATGAAGCTAACAGTGCATTTCTCATAATGCATCCCCATTGTTAAGTGACACACCACTGTACTTAGAACAATGTTCACTAACACAGCAAGTACCAGCATGCGTCGTGTCCGTTTAAAAACAGCTATTGGCTTCCTATTACTTTCATGGTGAGGTCTGTTCACAAACAAAATTTCAACCAATGTAAAGATTAAATTGGCTTTTATTAGTGATTCATAAATCAGGTAGCATTTCATCTAGAGATTTGGAAAAGGCACTCCACTGGGCGTGGCAGCAGAGTCAATTTTTATAAGGTAGGTTGAACAGGAACAAGGGAACGACATAATAGAAAAAGCGGGGCTGGTTGGCTGGGTGCAGTGGCTCACGCCTGTAATCCTAGCACTTTGGGAGGCTGAGGCAGGTGGATCATGAAGTCAGGAGATTGAGACCATCCTGGCCAACACGGTGAAACCCCGTCTCTACTAAAAATACAAAAAATTAGCTGGGCATGGTGGCGGGCGCCTGTAGTCCCAGCTACTTGGGAGGCTGAGGCAGGAGAAACACTTGAACCTGGGAGGCGGAAGTTGCAGTGAGCCAAGATGGCGCCACTGCAGTCCAGCCTAGGCGACAGAGCGAGACTCCATCTAAAAAAATAAAAAAAAGACGGGGTTGCTGGTTAGCGTCAGGTTTCTTTCCTTGTAAGGGTTAAAGCAGAGAGGACTTTCTTATGCTGGCTAAAACTGGCTTGTTTGGGGATTTGGCTATCATCTCTCTTCTGATTTCTTGGAAGGCCAAATCAACAGCTTAGTTTCTATTTGAAGACATGGAACTTAAGCATGAGTGACTCCATTTGGGTTTGATCTCTTGGGGCCCAGTACAGGAGCTCAGTCCAAGTCAGTGGCCTCCCATAAATTGTATTTAACAAGCCTAGGCTTATTTGAGTCCAGGCCTTGCACAGGGCACTGGGAATATGATGTGCTTGAGAGACCCACAGTCCAGTCACCACAGTCTCATAAAGAAAGATAGACAAGGAAAGAGGGTATGAGGCTGGATTTAAGCACCCCAGGGTGCCATGGAATCCCCACGCTGGTGACAGTCAGCGCTACAGGAAGGATCTGGTGGGTTTCTCAGAGATTGCCTGATTTGGACTTTGGATGACCTAGTGTATTAGTCCATTTTCATCTTACTATAAAGAACTTCCCTGAGACTGGGTAATTTATAAAAGAAAGAGGTTTGGCCAGGCACAATAGCTCACACCTATAATCCCTGCACTTTGGGAGGCTGAGGCGGGTAGATCACTTGAAGTCAGGAGTTCGAGACTAGCCTGGCCAACACAGTGAAACCCCCTCTCTACTAAAAATACAAAAAATTAGCCGTGCTTGGTGGCACACGCCTGTAGTCCCAGCTACTCGGGAGGCTGAGGCAGGAGAATTGCTTGAACCCAGGAAATGGAGGTTGCAGTGAGCCGAGATTGCCACTGTACTCCAGGCTGGGCAACAAGAGTGAAACTCTGTCATAAAATAAAATAAAATAAATAAAATAAAATAAAATAAAATAAAATAAATAAAATTTAATTGACTCACAGTTTCCACATGGCTGGGGAGGCCTCAGGAAACTTATAATCATGGCGGAAAGGGAAGCAGGCATCTTCTTCACAAGGCAGCAGGAGAGAGAAGAGTGACAGGGACTTCCAAACACTTATAAAGCCATCAAATCTCTGAGAACTCACTCATTATCATGAGAACAGCATGAGGGAAACTGTCCCCATGATCCAATCACCTCCCTCCCTTGACATGTAGGGATTACAAATCCAGATGAGATTTGGGCGGGGACACAGAGCCAAACCATATCACCTAGATTTTTCCAGGTGATGGAATCAAGTGTTCCTGGAAACGGGAATTGCAAAAACACACACCTGGGTGCATGCATTCAGTAACAACAGTCAGTACAGCAATCACTACAGCTTCTGATCTGACATCATATGCATGTTCCTGATGCTCTCTGCTCTACAAAAGCATGCACCACAACTAACAGGGCTTATGAGAAAGTGAGGCTGGGAAGGACCCCTCAAGATCTATGGAACTGGCTGGGTGTGGTGGCTCATGCATGTAATCCCAGCACTTTGGGAGGCTGAGGTGGTGGATCACCTGAGGTCAGGAGTTCGAGACCAGCCTGGCCAACATGGTGAAACGCCGTGTCTACTAAAAATACAAAAATTAGTCAGGTGTGGTGGTGCGTGCCTGTAATCCCAGCTACTTGGGAGGCTGAAGCAGGAGAATCACTTGAATCTAGGAGGCGGAGGTTGCAGTGAGCTGAGATCGCGCCATTGCACTCCAGCCTGGGCGACAACAGCAAAACTCCCGTCTAAAAAAAAAAAAAAAATCTATGAAACATCAAAACTAGACCACTAACCAAACAATGATCATGATAACAATTCCTCCCAGTTAAACCTCCACCAGCATTTGTACCTGGCCTCACAACCAGGCAATGTTTGCGGCTTTAAGCCCCAAGTCCTGATTCTTCCTTTGAGATGTAGGTCCTGGAGAACTTTTGCTTTTAATAAAGACTGTTTTCATCACAATTAAAATCAGATCCAGGATATAGCCTTCTTGATGAACCCACTATTTTAATACAGCAGGAAATGTCTTCACACTCTCCTCATCTGCACTCACGGTTTCACCAAAGAGTTGACCATCATAGAAGCTCGGAGGCTCTTGGAGGTGCTAAACCAGCCACAACTTACACAGAAGGGGGCAGTTGGGAGCTACTCAGGATGGTGGGGTGTTGGGAGGAGAAGGGTGGTCCCATGGTCCTGTAGATTGTCAACTTTGCCAAGTCTTTAAAATTAAGAGCCTGGGCACTGGCCTGGGCAACATAGCAAGAACCCATCTCTACAAAAAATAATTTAAAATTACCCAGATATGGTGATCCACACCTGTAGTCCCAGCTACTCGGGAGGCTGAGGTGGGAGAATTGCTTCAGCCCAGGAGGTTGAGGCTGTAGTGAGCTATGATCATGCCACTGCACTCCATCCTGAGTGACAGAATGAGACCCTGACTCAAAAAAAAAAAAAAAAAAAAAAAGCAACTATTTGTACTGCATTCACTTAGCACCTATTATATTCCAGACCTCCTGCTCAGGGCTGGTGGTGCCCTGGGGTTTGGGGTTCGAGTGCAGGAGGAGCCACAGGAGATGAGCTCAGGGTGGAGAAGTAACTGAAGCTACATAGCAAGTTAGTGCCAAGACTGGGAGTAAGACTTCGGGCCTGCGTGTCATCCTGGAGACCTCAGCTGGTTCCCCACAGGAAAGGAGGCTGGACAGTGGGTCGTGGCTGGACTTGGGCTGTCCTCTGAGTTAGCCAGTGGACGGATGGAACCGAGGTTGAGAATAGAGCCAGCCAATTTATTTCCTCTGTGTGATTTCTTTTCTTCTTTGTTTCGGCCTCCCAAAGTTCTGGGATTATAGGCGTGAGCCACAGTGCCCTACCTTTTTTTTGTTTGTTTGTTTTTTGTTTTTTTGAGACAGAGTTTTGCTCTTGTTGCCCAGGCTGGAGTGCAATGGCACAATCTCTGCTCACTACAACCTCCACCTCCCGGGTTCAAGTGATTCTCCTGCCCCAGCCTCCCAAGTAGCTGGGATTACAAGTGTGCACCACCATGCCCAGCTAATTTTTGTATTTTTAGTAGAGACAGGGTTTCACTATGTTGGCCAGGCTGGTCTTTAACTCCTGACTTCAGGTGATCCACCCACCTCGCCCTCCCAAAGTGCTGGGATTACAGGTACAAACCACCATGCCCACCTGGCCTCCTCTATGTGATTTCTGTTTCCCTTGAAAGTGTGTGTTGGATAAGAGAGGGAGGGTCTGGTTAGAGCTCAGTAACAGGGGTCCTTGGGTTGTTGGCAACCAGCATCACCAGAGGTGATAATAGCTGGATCTCACTGGCCGGTGATACTTGGGGGATAGGGAGGAGGATGGCTTCCCTCTCACCTCATCCTCAAAGTAAAGCCTTTAAAGAAAGAAGTATTGTCCCCATTTGGCAAAGAAGAAACCGAGATGCAGGAGGTTCAGGTAACTCGTCCAAGGTAGAAAGCCTGCATCCAAATCCAGGTTTATCCGACAGTTCTTTTGCAGTTTTTCCCCTGAAGAATGGAGAGGCAGGTGGGAGAGTGAGGATTCTCCAGGCTCAGCATGGGTTCCCAGACTACTTGGGGCATGGCCAGGTGACCTCAGAAGGCAGCAGCCGTGGGCCATTTGCATTTCTCTGGGCACTCTGGAGGAAGCAAAGGAGGTAGAGGTAGGACATGGAAGACCGGAGACCTGGCCCTTTGTCCCAGTGGCCTGGTCCCATGGGAATGGACTTGGGTGACATTATTAATGTGATGTGGGTCAGAACCGCCCCCAGGAACCTTCCCCGCTCTAGGCTGCCCCAAGGGTGCTGCTACTAAGGCCTGACAGGGGAAGAGGATTTTTTTTTTTTTTTTTTGAGACAGAGTTTCGCTCTTGTTTCCCAGGCCGGAGTACAGTGGCGCGATCTCGGCTCACCGAAACCTCCACCTCCCGGGTTCAAGCGATTCTCCAGCCTCCCAAGTAGCTGGGATTATAGGCACGCACTACCACGCCTGGCTAATTTTGTATTTTTAGTAGAGACGGGGTTTCTCCATGATGGTCAGGCTGGTCTCAAACTTCTGACCTCAGCTGATCCACCTGCCTCAGCCTCCGAAAGTGCTGGGATTACAGGCGTGAGCCACCATGCCCGGCCGCAGGAAGAGGATTTCTTTTGAGATACAGGAAGCCCAGAAATGGTTTCATCCGCTTTGTCTCTGAGCACCTCCTCTTTCCTGCAGGAAAACTGAGGCTCTGGGAGAGGAGTGACTTGTCCAGGGTCCTATGATGGGAGACTGAGCAGGTAAATTGCAGGACTCCACCTCTCTGGCCCTCTGTTCAGGCCTGTGAGGCGATGAGAGAAGAAAGAGACTGTGCTGTGTGTCCCGAATGGGAAAGATGGCCCACACTGAGGGGGTTGGGTGGGCGCTGGGTTGGTGGGAAGGATATGTTGCAGAGTGGTGTCTGCAGCATGATCCCAGCTTTGCAATCATAAGATTAAAAGCCAAACTGTAGGGCACATGTTCTTAGGATCTCCTGGAGCTATGTCATGGGGAAAAAAAATAGAAAATAAATTTTTTTTTTTTTTTAGACGGAGTCTCGCAATTTCACCCAGGCTGGAGTGCAATGGTGCGATCTTGGCTCACTGCAAGCTCCGCCTCCTGGGTTCACGCCATTCTCCTGCCTCAGCCTCCCGAGTAGCTGGGACTACAGGCGCCCACCACCACACCTGGCTAATTTTTTGTATTTTTAGTAGAGACGGGGTTTCACCGTGTTAGCCAGGATGGTCTCGATCTCCTGACCTCGTGATCCTCCCACCTCGGCCTCCCAAAGTGCTGGGATTACAGGCGTGAACCACAGCGCCTGGCCAGAAAATAAATTTTTTAAAAAGTAAAAGAAAAAGCCAAAGTGTAGATATGTGAGTGTAACTGTGGGAGTGTGAGCTTAGACCTCTGTGTTTGTCGAGGCAGAGACAAAGCAAGCTGCTACAAGCAGTTGGGGATGGAATAGCATTCCATTTCTTACTTTAGAAACTTTGTGATTGGCCGGACGCAGCGGCTCATGGCTACAATCCCAGCACTTTGGGAGGCCAAGGCAAGAGTACTGCCTGAGCCCAGGAGCTTGAGACCAGCCTGGGCAACAATGTAAAACCCCGTCTCTACAAAAAATACGAAAAATTAGCCGGGCGTGGTGGTAGGTTCCTGTAGTCCCAGCTACTTGGGAGGCTGAGACAGGAGAATCACTTGAACCCAGGAGGCAGAGGTTGCAGTGAGCCAAGATTGTGCCACTGCACCCCAGCCTGGGCAACAGAGCAAGACGCCATCTCAAACAACAACACAACAACACCCCAAAAGCCCTACGTGCTGTCCCTGAGGGCCTCCACTCCTCGAATGGCCTCAGTTTCCACCTCTGTTCTTGTTACACTTGTCTTTCTGCTTAGGTTTCTGTTCTGATCCCATTTGGGTGTCCCAGGAGCCCCTGACTTGCCGCGTGTCCAGAGAGAGCACCTTATCATCTGCTTCTTGCAAAGCCAACTCTCCTCCTCCGTCTGTATCACGGCTGAAGCGTTGGTCATTCTGTTTTCTGAAACCCAGGTCTCTTGGTGTGTTTAGCTCTCGGCCCCTCCTTTACTTCCTTCACCAAGCCCTCTTAATTTTGCTTGTGAAATGCCTCATGACTCTGACTCTTTCATGTCATTTCTGTGGCTGTGAGCGCAGTGGAGTGCAGTGCCCCTCGGCCCCATTTCATTCTTCACCCGGCACCTCCCTTCCAGCTGCTCCATTCTCTCTCTGCTGCTCACAGAGTCCTCCAGCAAAGCCCTACAGGTTACGGGCACCCCACCTCGGGCCCCTTGGCTTCCTCCCTTTGCCCCCGAGAGAAAGTTTGGTGTATGGCACCTTTTCCCAGCATCACTGTCCACACAGCACCGTCACTGTCCTGTGTGTGCATCACCTGTCTCAGGGACATAACGATTTCCTTCAACTGGTTCAGGTTTTAAAACTTCAATGGACTTATTTCAGAAGGCACCTTTACGTCACTACCATAAAAGGAAAATGAGGGT
Organism: Homo sapiens; assembly: GCF_000001405.40. Lineage (NCBI taxonomy): Eukaryota > Metazoa > Chordata > Mammalia > Primates > Hominidae > Homo > Homo sapiens. Next base: position 32,173,814 of record NC_000022.11, read on the forward strand.
AGCCTGCCACAAAGAGGGTCTCTCAAAGCTCAGTAAGTGACTACTACAGTGAAGACCACCCCAGGTGCCCTCGGGGGCCAGCAGGGATGCATGCGTCCACTCTGGGAAGCCGTGAGCTGTGGGAGCTCCTCTGCAGCGGGCTCCTTCTCTTCATCCGAGGGAGTGTAGCACCGTGGTTCAGGCCAAAGACCCTGGAGCGAGGCCTGTGTCCAAGTCTCACTCTGCTACTTTCCAGCAACATGACCTTGGGCAGCTTAACCTCTCTGAGCCTCATTTTCCCATCTGTAGAAGGGGTTTATATTATTTTCTTCAAGGCCAGATGCGATGGCTCACGTCTGTAATCCCAGCACTTTGGGAGGCCCAGGCGGGTGGATCATGAGCTCAAGGAGTTTGACACCAGCCTGACCAACATGGTGAAATCCCGTCGCTACTAAAAATACAAAAATTAGCCGGGCGTGGTGGCGTGTACCTGTAATGCCAGCTACTCAGGGGGCTGAGGCAGGAGAATCACTTGAACCTGGGAGGTGGAGGTTGCAGTGAGCTGAGATCATGCCACTGCAGTCCAGCCTGGGCGACAGAACGAGACTCCATCTCAAAATAAATAAATAAATAAATAAATAAATGTAAAAAAGTTAAAAAAAACTATTTCCTTCAATGAATTGTGGGATTAAGTGAGATTTTAGTGTATGTGGATCATTTCATGCAGTGCCCTAACCCTCCCGTCGTCTCCTTTTTTTTTTTTTTTTTTTTCTTGAGACAGAGTCTCCCTCTGTCACCCAGGCTGGAGTGCAGTGGCATGATCTTGGCTCACTACAACCTCTGCCTCCTGGGTTCAAGCGATTCTCCTGCCTCAGCCTCCCAAATAGCTGGGATTATAGGCGCTCATTACTATGCCTGGCCAATGTTTTGTATTTTTAGTAGAGATGGGGTTTTGCCATGTTGGTCAAGCTGGTCTCAAATTCGTGACCTCTAGTGATCCGCCCACCTTGGCCTCCCACAGTGCTGGGATTATAGGTGTGAGCTACCGTGCCTGGCCTTACCCTCTCCTTTTGTGAGCCTACTCCACGCCCTCCAACGGTGTTATGTCTCTCCTGGGCATCAGCGACACCGGTGGTCTCTTGGTCGCGTTGGCCACCTTCCTCCGCGTTCCTGCCTCTGTGCCTCCTCTTCACCGTTTCTCTGGCAGGTCACTGCTGGCCTCTTCTGGAGGCCTAGATCAGCCGTTGCCTCCTGTGTGATCCCACAGCTGGTCTCCCAAGGAGAGCCAGCCCTCTCCTCCCTGTGACCTCTGGGCACTTGATTCTGGATCTCTTGTTTTACCCCATAACCCCACCATTCATGTTTGGCACACGAGTCTTTCACGTGGGTGTGCCGTGCTGGCACGATGGCTTTTTGCATTTTCATCTCCTGCCTGGATCATTTTCTCAAGTGCTTGTGAATCACACAGACGTCGCCTCCCAATGGGAGTCAGAGATCTCAGGGTGGAGGTCCAGCTCTCCTATTTTCTGACTCTGTGACCCAAGGTTCACACTGAACTCGGAATCTCTGCTGGCTTAGGCGTAAACCATAAAGCATGCGTCAGTTCTGAAAGCTGCTTGTCCAGTAAAGGCTTAATTTTCCCAGTGTGAGGATTTACCTATGTGGGTAGATTTGGTCCATTGTTCTGAGATACGTGCAGGGGAGGCCCAGACCCCCGACTAGAGGCCTGCGGAGGGCTGCAGAGGTTCTCTAGGGTGGTCTGCTCATATGATCCTTTTCCTCCTGGCTCCTGCCCTTTCTCCTAGCCCTGGTCCAGTTTAGACCAGGGAAGGACAGTGCTGTCCTCATCCAGTGCACCCGGAGAGCAGGTGGAGTGTCTCCTGAAGCTGCAGCCACAGAGTCTGGCCCAGGCCTCCCCTTGTGCCCCACGCAGCCACATGGTCCTGCGCAGGGTGTGGCCTGCAGCAGAGACTCCAGCCGGCACATCTGCACATCCTGGGCCTCCTGCTCTCTCTCTGCTCCGTGCAGAGGACCTGTAGCGCCACCTTTGACCCCTTTTTTCTTCTGTTCCCTGGAGCCCGACTTGGGGAGGGCGGACGGCAGGAAACGCGGGAGGCGAAGGCGAGGCTGCTCAGCGGCGGCTCGGGATGCCTCCAGCAACGGGGACTAGCCCTGCGCGCCCGGGGAGGGGGAGGCGCTGGCGCTGTGACGGCCGCGGGGAGGGCCACCTTCCCAGCACACGCACACATACGCCCCCGGCCCTCAGCCGCTCCGGCTGCCGCTGCCCGCCGACAGCTGACCTCCAGGCACCGCAGCGCCCGGGAACAGCCATCTGGGAACCGCGACCGCGCACTGACACACGCAGTGGCCGCCGCCGCCGCCGCTCCGCCAAGCGCTGCCTGTAGCACCTGCACGGTGGTTTGGAGGGGAAGGTCTGGGCAGGCGAACGTTCCACGAGGGCGTCCCAGAGGCATCTGCAGCCTCCGCTCTCCTGTTCTGCTCTGGCGCCCACCAGCCCCTGACCGAGTCCAGAGGGTCACCGAAGACGCCCCCCAGTGCTCGAACGCCCGTTGGTGCCAGGCTGCCCGGCCCTGAGGGCCTTGCCTGAGGACACCCCTTTCCTCCCCTCCGGAAGGGGCGACCGCCCTTTGCCAACCCCAGGCAAAGCTGGGGCCCCAACCTTATGTGCGCTACCGCCCCCTCCAGGCATTTGACCTCCCCGCGTCCCCATTCTTGACGAGCCCCGTCCTAGAAGTCTCCTGGGGGGTGGGAGCACTGTCCTCAGGCCAGGGCGGGGCCGCGGGCTCCCCTGGACTTGGCCCTCTCTCTGCCAGGTCTCACTGGCCAATCTTAGCCAAAGCAGTCCCGGGCCAGATGTACCCGAGTGAGCTGACCTAAGACCTTGGGTTCCTTGTGCCTCTGCATACTTAAAGAATGGGAATCGGCCGGGCGCGGTGGCTCAAGCCTGTAATCCCAGCACTTTGGGAGGCCGAGGCGGGCGGATCACAAGGTCAGGAGATCGAGACCGTCCTGGCTAACATGGTGAAACACCGTCTATACTAAAAATATAAAAAATTAGCCGGGCGTGGTGGCAGGCGCCTGTATTCCCAGCTACTCGGGAGACTGAGGCAGGAGAATGGCATGAACCCGGGAGGCGGAGCTTGCAGTGAGCGGAGATCGCGCCACTGCACTCCAGCCTGGGCGACAGAGGGAGACTCCGTCTCAAAAAAGGAAAAAAAAAAAAAAATGGAAATCGTGGTCATTAATCTATAAAGTCCCAGGGGCTGATTAATGCGAGGAACGCAGTAGGACATCAAAACACAAAACATACTTGAGCCTGAACCAGGGACTGTGGGAGATATCGACGACCTTGTAACAAGAATGGGAGTTTGACCTTCGCTGAGTACTTACTATGCGCCTTATAACGTAATCCCCACAACGGCCGTGTAAGCATACTGCATTACTCACCCTTACTTTACAGGTGAATACACTGGTGTGCAAAGAGGTTCTGTAGCTAGTGGAAGCACACAGAGCTACTAAAGGACCAGAATCCAGAGCCAGCAGGAACTCCGTGCACAGTGCAGTGGGAGCCAGGGATGTGGGACTGCAAGTTTCCTCTGCAGGAGGAGCACCGCCCTGACTCAGTTGCTCTGGTCATCGGTTTCCTCCGGCATATGGTGAGGGATTTGGAGTGGATGATGGCCACACACCAGCTCTACTGGAGTGAGGCAAGGGCAGCCCTGAATCCAGGCTGAGTTACTAGGAAACAGGAAGATGAGATTGGAGGCTGAGCGGAACTGCTAGAAAGTACCTTGGACAGAGCCAGGGAGACTAGGCCAAATTCTCTCTGCCCTAACTTCTCTTTCTAGGCTTCTGTAGACACCACCTCTCCCGGCTCCACTTGGCATTTCCTTTTCCCCAGGCTGGAGGGTTTGCATGAGCAGAGCTCACCAGATTATCTCCTCCAGGAAGGGAAGAAGGAAGGGAGGAAGGGAGGGAGGGAGGGAAAGAAATGGTCCAGAGGACAAGTATAATCCCCATATATTTGCTCAACTGCTGTCTCACTTGACATCACAAATATCCTCTAGTCATAGGCTTCTGGCACCTGCCATTCCTCAAACCCTCAGCTCAGGTTTCTGAATGAGCATTTTCCCTTGTTTTTTTCATTCTTTCCTTTAGTCATTTGTGTTCTCCTTGTAAGCTGTGCCAATATAGAGTGTCCACTGACACCTACATCTGGGAATAAGTTGAAAGCTGGGTAACTTTGCCTGACATTTACTAAGGGGTTAAAGACCCTGCCTGACATCCTACCCTACAGCCCCTCTGTCTCCATTTATGGTAGGGCAACCTGGCCCCAAGATGCATGACCTGGAATCTGCCCTGACCCAGGGGGCACCAATCTCACTCTCCATCGGCATGGCTCCAGGCCAATCTCTGATCTCACAGCCCACTCCTGATGCCTGGACATCACTATGGTTCCAAGATCTTACTCTGACCTGGTGTTACAGTTTGAGCAACTGGGTCCCTGATGTGCTTCCTGAGTCTGAGCTCCTGCCTCAGTCACCAGCCTAGAATGCATGTTCCTCCAGAGCTGGGGTCCAGCATCTTGCTTTATGATAATCATTCATTCCTTCGACCAGTGTTTTGAAGGGCATACTACCTGCTGGGCAGTGTCCTAGGAGTTGAAGATATAGGAAGGAAAAAAACCAGACCAAAATCCCTGCCCTTGTAGAATTGACATTCTAGTAGAGAAAGAGAGACAATAAATAGGAAGAAGATATGTTAGTATGTCTGTTTATGAAAAGTACCATGGTGAACAAAAACACAGGGAAGAGGATTGAGACTGGCAGCGTGGGGCTGCAATTTGAAATAGGGAGGTGAGGGAAAGACACACTAAGGTGACTTCTCAGCAAAGACACAAAGAAGGTAAGTTAAGAAAGGCGAATAGTGTTCCATGCAGAGAAACAGCAAGAGCAGAGGTTCTGAGACAGGAGTGTGCCTGGCATGTTCAAGGAGCAGTGTGGAAGCCAATGCGGTGGAACAGAGTGGGCAAAGGGAAAAGCAATGGGACCCAAGGTCAAAGGCAGGTGGGACCGTGTGGGGGCTACTGGGTAGAGCAGTGACATGATCTGATGTATTTTAACAGGATCACCCTGGCTGCAGAGTGGAGAATCAGCGGGGGAAAGAGTGTGAGCAGTAATACCGGTTAGGAGACTCTGCTACAATAAGCACATTTGGTGGGCAGGCCAGGGTATAAGCAGAAGAGAGGATGAGAATTGGCTAGAGTAATCATTGTGCTTCTTATTAATTGGAATAAAATGCATTGGCCAAGTCCCAGGATGTGGAAAACACTTGATTCCCATGAACACGTCTACCTTCTAAGAGATGTAAAAGAGACTTAGAAAGCAACGCGCTCAGGTTGCACCTCCAGGAAATGATGAAACATCCACATTAGTCCAAGTCTGTATGGTTTAAAATATTATCTTGTTTCCATAATCCTGTTTCCTTAGCAATCTTTTCTCCCAAACCCTCTGCCTACACATAGAAGTCAGTCTCCAAACCCCAGCTCAGAGGTTGACAGATGGTGCCCACTTCCTTTCTGGGGATTTTGGGGCTCCATGGTCCATCTGATTGCCTGTCAACAAGACGCTCCATCCCTTGGAACAGGATCCTGATTCTGGGAAGCTAACCAGGCCTCTCACTGCTGTCTGCTGTCCTTCCTTATTGGGCTGACACCCCCTGCAACCCAGAGCTGCTCAGATCTGCCCTCCAGAGCTGCCTCCTCCCAGGAACTGGGTCCAGTTTTTAACACCCTTTTCCCAATTTGATTGTTATCCATGCCTGCCTCTACTCTAACTCTTAACAGCAGCAAGGTCTTATCTTTCTTCTTTAAAACAAAACAAACTACACACACACACACACACACACATGCACGCGCGCGCACAAACATACATACATATATATACATACATATATATATTAGTTTGGTGCAAAAGTAATTGCAGTTTTTGCCACTGAAAGTAGTGGCAAAAACTGCAATTATTTTTGCACCAAACTAATATATAGGATTCAGACTGGCAGGGTGGAGCTGCAATTGTGTTTGTGTCTGTGTGTGTGTGTAAACCACACTCAGTTGTCACTCATATTCACCGTCTCTCTCGGTTAATGCCATTGTCCTTGCACAATCAGATTTTCTTTCTTGTCCTAAAGCATTAGTCAAAATGTTAAATAGGAGAAAGCCAAAGGCACAGCCCTGTGACTGGCCACACTGGGAGTCATCTGCCCCCTCTGGTCCTACAATTAAACCTACTGAAAATTGCTCCCAACTTCCACATTCTGTAGTCCTCATTTCTGTGTCTTGTACTCCTGAAAATCATGAAAAGTCTTCCTAAAGCCTGTGCTGAAACCTTGATATGTGCTATGTCCTAATTTCTCTGAGCTGTCAGATGAATAATTCCATGAATTAGGGTGGTTGTAACTGGGTCGGTTCTTGGTGAACACACCCACTCCTAGGGAGCTCTGCTCTCCTCTGTGTGATCACACATTGTTTGTACAATCAGCTCTTCTCAAACGCTGCTGACGATAAACACCCGAATCCCCTATTGCTGAAGTCACCGTTTTGGGCTCTCAGGAAACCTGAACCCTGCTGCATCCCCTGCCACCTAACCCTTCCCTTCACTCATCTCCCAAAGATCCTTCAGGTGCTCTTTCTGGATCCCAGCTACAGTGTCCTGCTGTCTTGACAGGTACTTACTCTGGCCCTAGAGACATAGGCTCATTGAAAGCATCTAGGTGCCCTCTAACAGTCTCCTCGTCTTTCATTTTATGCTTGCTCCACTATCTCCTGTTTCCTGGTCATTCTCTACCGGTACATCCTGTGTGTCTCTGTGACAGGCCTGGAGATGAGAAAGTTTTGCATTCTTTTCAACATCCACCCATGCTTTCTCCTAATGCACCATACGAAGTCCCTTTTGTGGTCCATGGCATTATCCCAATGCTTCAGCTCATTCTACGATTGAACACCTGCAGGGTCCAACAGCTTCCTGCTACCTCCGTTCCAGATCCTGACTTCCAGTTCTTTCCATGGCCCTAAGTATGTTTCATAAATTTTATTGAAATATAACAAACAGTTCAGTGAATTTTCCCAAAGTGAACACACTCATGTAACCAGCATCAGGAACCAGAACGTTACCAGCACCTGAAAGTCATGTTGTTGGCCAGTCACTAACCTTCCCCGGGATGACCACCATGCTGACCGCTAACACTGTAGATTTTGGTTCTGCCTCTTCTCAGGCTTGATATAAATGGAATCCCTGTCTGTCCTCTTTGTGTCTGGCTTCTTTCACTCAACATTGTGAAATTCACCCATATTGTTGTATATGACTGTAGATATTTTATTCTCATTGCCATATGGTTGCCTTAACCTTTAAAAAATCTGACGTCATCACGAAGATCTGAATGTATGGTTTTCTTTCCACCCACCCCCAACCTGGCTCGTTGTGGTCTCACTTGTATCTATTCCTGCCTCTATTCTTACACTTCTCCATGCTATTCTTCATTTACCCTGCCAAACTGACCTTTCCAAATCACGTCACCCCCCCACCCCCCGCCAGCTCAATGCATTCAATGGCTCCCTGTTACCTCTGGGGTACAAACTCCCATGTCTGGTATTATAAGCCATTTACAATGTGGCTCCAATGTTTCCAGCTTTAGCACCAGCTCTCTCTCCCTGCACCCTTTATATTCTAACTACTTAGAATATATTAGCTGGCCCATAAACATGGACCACTGTTCTGCCTCTATACCTTTGCTCATGCTATTCCTTCAACTTGGAACACTCTTCCCACTCTTTCTCCCACTGACAAAATCCTTTGAAACTCAGGTCAAATGTCACCTCCTTTGTGATACCTCCTCCAGTCACTCCAGCAGAAATAATTACTACCTTTTCTCAGCATCCATAGTAAGGCTTGGTTCATGCTGAAAGATAGTACTAATCACTTCTTTAAAAGTTAATTACCACATTTCACCATTCTAACACAGACATTCTTATTCATCTCTGGAATCAGGATGCACTTTGCCATTGATGGCATCTTGTAGTTGGAAGTATTTTTTTTCTTTCTTGTTGATACATAAAATAATGGTGTTTAAGATTCAGTGAAATATATTTCATGTTTATCTCAGCATATTCTAGGAAAGCTCGCCACACTGCATTGTATAGTTAGTTGTCTACAATTCTGTGTTCCTTTTCATGTGTGAGACCATAGACACACACAAAGCCAGCAATCTGTTGAATGAAGAGATGTGCACCATGCACTAGTACCTGAACATTTACTAGGTCATGGGAGGCAGCGTGGCAGGGAAGACCTCTGAGTGTGGTTCTTCATGAGGTTCCTCACAAGGTTGAAAGAGTTACCCTTTCCTCCTGAGGTGCTGAGGCCCAGGAGACCGTGGTGGAGGGCTGGAGAGAGCCACAGAAATCTCTCTTCCTTGTGGCTGGCTGTCATGTCAGCTTGCATCGGGGCAGGGGAGGAGAAGTTACATAGGATTAGTTTAATGCCCAATACTTGATCAGCAAAGCAAGCTTGATTCAATTATAACATCATTCCTATTGGGTAAATAGGATTTGCTTCTCAAGGATCTGATGTATGGCCTGGTTTTCAGGAGCACGCTATGATAGAACGCAGTAGCATCCTGTTGTGCCAATCTTATTCCAAGCCTCTCTTTTTGAATAACAACAGTGGGTCTTTTAATTTGCTTTTTCCTAATGAAATCAGTTATTTCTCCTGCCCCCACCACCACTCTATGTTATATTAAATAACAAAGGACACAGATAGGCTGGCATCTGACTTTAGTGGTATTTCAGTTACCTTTTGCTCATTTCTTAATATTTCAGCCTTTCAAATTTCATAGGTGGTTTAGGTAAAGGCCAGTATGTTTGTCTTAGTCCATTTGGGCCGCTATAGCAAAATACCTTAGACTGGTAATTTACAAACAGAAATTTATTGCTCACAGTTTTCTGGAGGCTAGGAAGTCCAAGAGCAAGGCACCAGCAGATTTAGTGTCTGGCGAGGACCTGCTCCTCGTAGATGGCGCCTTCTGTGTCCTCACATGGAGGGCAAGACTCCCTCAAGCCTCCTTCATAAGGGCACTAATCCCATTCAAGAGGGTGGAGCCCCCATGACCCAATCACTTCCTAAAGGGCCCACCTCTTAATACCACTGCAGTGAGGATTTGGTTTTAACACAATTTTTTACTTTTTTAATTTTTATTTATTTATTTTTTCTGAGACAGAGCCTTGCTCTGTCACCCAGGCTGCAGTATAGTGGCATGATCTCAGCTCGCTGCAACCTCTGCCTCCTGGGATCAAGTGATTCTCCTGCCTCAGCCTCCTGGATAGCTGGGATTATAGGCACGCACCACCACACCTGGCTAATTTTTCATATTTTTGGTAGAGACAGGGTTTCACCATATTGGCCAGGCTGGTCTCAAACTCCTGACCTCAAGGGATCCACCAGCCTTGGCCTCCCAAAGTGCTGGGATTACAGGCATGAACCACCACACCCAGCTGGTTTTAACACAAATTTTAGAGGGACACAAACATTGGGACCGTAGCAGTGTCCTATTGATTTTTCACATGCTTCTGAAATTTGGAATTATGACATAGTCAAATGGTTTGGGATGATCCACTTTGTATGATGAATGATACTCTCATATGTTGTGTGAGACACTGCACTATCCTGCCTGCAAAAGACCCCCTGAATTCAGATGGATCTGTGGCTATGTTTAAAGGATTGGTTGAGGAGAAAGTTTGCTCCTGGGTTCATTAGGATTACTGAACGAGGTAACAGTTTTACAAGATTTCCTCCAGTTTCGGGTTGGCTTTATAAAGAATCACTATATTTATCAGGTATTGCTTTCTGTTGGATGGTTTTCCTGGGTATTTCAAGGGCATTGGGGATTGCCAGACCTATCAGCATGATAAAGTTCAATTGCATGGCCATCTGGACTTCCTTTGGGGAGTTTCTTTGATTGATATCTTTATTTTGTCAGGATCCAGGAAAGCACTTAATTTTCATATGATGTTCATTATCTTTTAGCAAATTAGATGCTGCTGGGAATTTTCTAAATTCCATCTTCTCCTTCAGAAAATGGATACCATCGCTTGCAATGTGAAAAACACAATAAAAAGTTTCCTTCTGCCAAGAGTAGCAAACTCTGGCTAATAGGTCTAAGGATAAGGAATAACTGGCGGGGGGCGGGGCGGCGAGTAAAAACAGATTTATTTTTTACTTCGTACCCTTCTATATTTTGAATTATCTTTTACCGTAAGCATATATTCCTTTTTTTTTTTAAAAAGTTCTTGTATTACTTTGCCATTTTTTTATTGCTTTTGTTTCTATTTTTCTCCTTTTCTTCTTTTCCTTTTGTGAAGTTTGTGCAGAGGATGACAAATTCAGTTCATTTTAAAAAAAACTCCAACAACAAAACAGCAACCAACCCGCCATATTTGGTTTCTGTATTTACTATTGTTTTTTCCTGTTTCAGTTTTCTTTTTATCTCTGCTCTGGTCTTTCTCAATATTAGATTTACTCTTATAATAGAAATAAAAAAAAAAAAAACAATGTCAGCATCTCTAAACTGTGGGAGGGGGAGCTGTTAGGAACTCTTTAGACAATCTGAGTGGAGGGGTGGGGGTGGTGGCTCACGCCTGTAATCCCAGCACTTTGGGAGGCTGAGGTGGGCAGATCACCTGAGGTTAGGAATTTGAGACCAGCTTGGCCAACATGGCGAAACCCCATCACTACTAAAAATACAAAAATTAGCTGGGCGTGGTGGCGTGCACGTGTAGTCCCAGCTACTCGGGGGGCTGAGGCAGGAGAAATGAACCCGGGAGGTGGAGGCTGCAGTGAGCCAAGATCACGCCACTGCACTCCAGCCTGGGTGACAGAGCAAGACTCCATCTCCAAAAAAATGAAAAGAAAAGAAAAAAAAAAGTATTTCCTTCAACGGATTCTGGGATTAAATGAGATTATAGTGTATGTGGATCACTTCACGCAGTGCCCTAACCCCCCTCTTTTTTTTTCTTTTTTCTTTCTTTCTTTTTTCTTTTTTTTTTTTTTTTTGAGACAGAGTCTTGCTCTGTCACCCAGACTGGAGTGCAGTGGTGCGATCTCGGCTCACTGCAACCTCTGCTTCCCGGGTTCAAGTAATTCTCCTGCCTCAGCCTCCCAAGTAGCTGGGTTTACAGGTGCCCACCACCATGCCTGGCCAATTTTTTGTATTTTTAGCAGAGACAGGATTTTGTCATGTTGGCCAGGCTGGTCTCGAACTCCTGGCCTCAGGTGATCCGCCCACCTCGGCCTCCCAAAGTGCTAGGATTACAGGCGTGAGCCACCGCGCCCTGCCCCTTCTGGAGACTTGCTGCTTACTTCCTGCAAACCTGGCCTGAGGTGATTTGGAAATGGGGCCTCTTCTTTGGAGAAGAGAAGGGAGGCTTGTTGTGGGGTTTGGGCAGCTCCCTCGGCTCTCCAGCCGCCACGTGCTTGTCTGCATAGTGAGGCTGTTAAGTGGCATCTGATGCTTTCTCCCACGGCTGGTGCTCTCTTCGTCCATGAACCCTGGGATTGAATTAGGGGTGGGGATTGCCATTTTGCATTTTCTGTGAAGTCCTATTTTGTTTTTTGAGACAGAGTTCCACTCTGTCACCCAGGCTGGAGTACAGTCATATGATCACGGCTCACTGTAGCCTTGACCTCCTAGGCTCAAGTGATCCTCACACCTTAGCCTCCTGCATAGCTGGGACTACAGGCACGCACCTGGCTAATTTTTAATTTTTTTTGTAGAGATGGAGTTTCACCATGTTGCACAGGCTGGTCTCGAACTCCTGGGCTCAAGCAATCCTCCTACCTTGGCCTCCCAAAGTGCTGGGATTACAGGCATGAGCCACCTCGCCCGGCCATGTGGGGAGTGGGGAGTTTTGAATCATCAAAGGTCTAGAGTTGGTGCCCCAAATCTCTGAAATCCTCTTAAAGCATGTGCTGGGATGGGTTGTGACCCCAAGGTCAGCCCTGCCAGGTGCGAACAGGTGAGCAACACCTGCTCCTTCTCAAGCCACCCCCATTCACTCCACCTGTTGGAGTCTTTGTTCCTGAATCCAGTGCCCTCTTCCCTCCCCAACACTCTGCCAGGTCTGCTGGGCTCATGCCCTTTCTCCCTTCCACATTGGCCCCAGCACAGGCATGAGGGTCATCAGTGCCCTCATCTCCATGTCTGTCCCCTTGGGGCTTGGAACTGAGCCATGTGCATACACTCAGGGCCTGGTGGTTCCCATACTGTGGCGGGGCCTGCATGTCTCTGCCTCCCAGATTAGCATCCGCAGTATGAGGGGCAGCAAGTGCCCAGAGCTGAAGATGTCCCTGCCCCTGTCCACCTCTGCCTTCTGATCAGTTTTCTGCCTTGGCCCCTCCTCCTCCTCTTCCATTCTTCCAGTTGATTTGAGCCTTGGCAGCAACCATCACCCCCACAAGGTGACCAGCTATTGTGTTTTTGCCATGTACCGGGCACTGTACTAAGTGCTTTCTGGGCGTTATTCTTAACAGCCCATGAGGTAGGTAGTAGTCACACCGTTTTACAGATGAGGAAGCTGACAGAGAAGTGAGATAACCTGACCACATAGCGAATCAGGAGTGGTGCTGGAGTATTGATTAGCAGGAGCATTGATTAGCAATTACATCTCATTCCCCTCTCCCTGCAGCCCCTCCCTGGCAACCACTAATTACCATTCTGTCTGTGGATTTGCCTGTTCTGTGCATTTCATGGAAATGGAATCACACAACACATGGCCTTTTGTGCCTGGCTCCTTTCTCTTGGCATCGTGCTTTCTAGGTGCATCCGTGTTGTAGCACAAAAATTACATCAGTACTTCATTCCTTTTCTTTCTGTTGCCTTTATAGTCATATGCTATCATTGTTTATTCTGTTTATTTTTATTTTTGAAAACTAATTATTTTTCTTTCTTTTTATGGGTGAACAATATTCCACGGTATGGAACAACAGAATTTTATTTATCTGTTTGTTGGCGGATGGACACTTAGATAGTTTGCCCCTTTTGGCCATTATGAATCATGTCATGTTTCTTGTTCCTTTTGGTTTGGTGTTCCCAAGAAACTCTTTGCAGTGCCCAGTTGTCTGTATTCCTCTAGCTTGGCTATTTGGAAAGCAAGAGAAAGCATAGCTGAGCATGGGTGAGTGGCTGGGAGGGGTGTGGGGAGGAATGAAGAAAAGGGGAGTTGCAGGCTTTGGGAGAACCCTGCATGGAGGGGGCCTTACACCTGGCCCCAGAGCCATCTGCTGCTAGGTGGGTGTTTTTCCTGTGGTTGATTATTAATTAGGGACCTGTCTTCATCTCAGGCAACTCTTCCTGAGCATGAACTCTGTCTTTCCACACAACTTGGAATAAAAGGATTGGAGAAAGAGAGTGAAGGGGTCCCTTTGATCAGTGGTCCAGGGCACTCTGTCTCTAGGGAACCAAATTCATTTCTCCCCCCAGATCCTTCACTCATTAGAATGGGATTCTGCAAATCTCTCACCATCTCTAAGTGATACTCAGCCCCTCCTGTGCCCACCCTGCCGGGCTGATGTGGGGAGTCCCGGAGATAATAGGAGATGTCCTCCAGAAGTTGTAAGGCATCACACCCACGTAAAAGATGAACAGGGAACCACCCTCCACTGGCCTGGAGCCACCCAAGCAGCCTCTCTGTGTTCAGCCACTACTAAGTCTCCGGCTTATTCCTTCTGGCATTTAGTAAACCCTTACACATCACTACTGAAGTTCTGATTCTCTTTCTTAATATTCTCCTGCATTTAGTGATTTTTCTAGCCCCATACTGTGAGATTAATAAGTAGGCCCTATGAAAAGTTTAACATGACAGTGCAGAGATCTGAGGGCCGAGGGATTACATGACCTTCCCAGGTCTACGTGGCTCTAGTGGGATTGGGGTCCAGGCCCCCACTACACCAGCCCTCTGCCTTTCTGTATCGTCTCATCTATGTGAAGGCATCGCCCACGCAGTCTTTCTTTTTCTTTTCTTTTCCTTTTTTTTTTTGAGACAGAGTCTCAGTCTGTCACCCAGACTGGAGTGCAGTGGCGCGATGTCCGCTCACTGCAAGCTCCGCCTCCCGGGTTCGTGCCATTCTCCCGCCTCAGTCTCCCGAGTAGCTGGGACTACAGGTGCCCGCCACTACACCTGGCTACTTTTTTTTTGTATTTTTAGTAGAGACGGGGTTTCACCGTGTTAGCCAGGATGGTCTCGATCTCCTGACCTCATGATCCGCCCGCCTCGGCCTCCCAAAGTGCTGGGATTACAGGCGTGAGCCACCGCGCCCGGCCTCGCCCACTTAGTCTTTCTAATCCACTTATAAAGTGCTCACTGAACTCCATGATCTTCCTGAGACCCAACTTTGATTCAGATGGCTCTACTTGGAAGCCAGTAAACAATGGGATCAGAAGTTAGAACCAATTATCACAATTCTCCCTCTGGTCTTTCTGTCAGTAACGTATCAATGGCTGTCTGCATTGCAAAAAGATTAACCAGGATCTTCTCTGATAGAGACTTTCAGAAGATACAGTGTCTACACCAAGAGGCACATGACACAACCTGGACTCTGGGCAAACCACCAGGTGCACCCACATGAAGGTACCATGGAAATTTATTACGTTGATTTAAGAATAACAATTATGGATTATAGTCAGTGTCCCATATGTAAGAGGAAGCTATGAATAAGTTAAGCCATATGTTCAAATGTGCTAGTTTTTATTCGCCTAGTCAAGAAGTATTGCTGAAATCACAAAATTAAATACACATTTAAAAGTCAATTCTGATTCACATTTAATAGTAAGACAATCTTTCAAGCTAATGTCTAAACGTGACTGAATTGTTGAACATTATTGTGAAGAGATCTCCCTGAAACAGTCGTGCTATATTACAATTTAAAAAATGAATATGTTTCTTTAAACAAGAGTTTTAGATTGACATAAAGATTGAGCATGTAATACACAAAGTTCCCACATCATTCTCTTCTCTCATCCTACCTTATAATTCCACCTAATATTCACATCTTACATTACTGTGTTATATTTGCTAAAATTAATGGGCAAATATTGATACATTAGTATCTAAAGTCTGTCATTCACATAGTGTTCTTTCTTCCTGTTACACATTTCTATGAATTTTGAAATATTTACTATGTTATGTTTACCATTTCGAACTCATAAGGAATATTCTCACTGCTCCAAAAATTCCCTCTTCTTTACTTATGAATCTCTGTCCTCTTCTCCAGAAATCATGCCAACTATGGATATTTTTACTGTTCCCTTGGTTTTGCCTTTTCTAGAATGTCATATAGTTGGAGTCATATATTAGGTTGGTGCAAAAGTAATTGCGGTTTTCCCATTCTTTAAATGCCAAAAACCACAATTACTTTTGCACCAACCAAATATTATGCAGCTTTTTCAGCTGAACTTAGTTCACTCATCAGTATACTTAAAGTCACCCTGCTCTGCTGCCTTTCTGTGTGTCTCATCCACATGAAGGCATGCCCTCACAGTCTTTCTGATACATGCCATTGTCTTTTCTATGCTTTGATGGAGAACTCCTTTAAATCACAGAATAATATTGTGTTTTATGGATGATGATTTTTTTCATTCACCTCTTGAACATCTTGCTTCTAGTTTGGGTGGTTATAGATAAAGCTGCTGTAAACATTCCTGTGCAGGCTTTGTGTGGACGTAACTTTTCATCTCAACTGAGTACATACCTAAGAGCGCAATTTTTGGATTATATTGTGAAAATATGTTGGGATTCGTAAGAATTTGGTAGATTTCATAAGAGAAATCACCTGGTTCTGGTGTTGTCTTTTTTTGGAATGTTCTTAATGTTAATTCACTTAATAGGCTGTTTCTAGTGTGACCTTGGGAAGATTATGTCTCTCAAGGAATTGATACATTTCACCTAGTTATCAAACTGTGGGAATAGAGTCATCCATAACAGTCCCTGATTATCCTTTTAATGACCAACAGTTTGGTAGACATGGCCCCTCTTTTATTTCTGATATTAGTAATGTGTGTTATCTTTTTTTGCTTTGTTAGCCTGCATATTTATTAATTGTAACAATTACAATTAATAATTACAATAATTAACTGGGGGGAGTTACCATTGTTAATGTAGATGAACACACATCCGGGAAAATGTTACCTATACTGAGCAATGATGGCAACAACTTGTCTTTTCAGTTCTGGATAGGACATAGGCATTTATCCAGCTCTCTGTTCAAATACACACACACCCACACATGCACACACGTATACACACACACTCACACTTTTACTATGAATAAAATATATTGCACTCCTATCATTTAGAAAATCACATAATCCAGCTGGGTGCAGTGGCTCATGCCTGTAATCCCAGCACTTTGGGAGGCCGACGCGGGTGAATCATGAGGTAAAGAGTTCAAGACCAGCCTGGCCAACATGGTGAAACCCTGTCTCTACTAAAAATACAAAAAATTAGCTGAGGTTGGTGGTGGGTGCCTGTAATCCCAGCTACTCAGGAGGCTGAGGAAAGAAAGTCACATAATCCATTAGGTGATATTCCAATCTTTATTTAACTCATAACTTCTATAATACATTAATTTGAACTTGCAGAAATAAAAAAGTAAAGCATTTGGAAATTGATCCCAGAATACAGGACATTTCTATAGGAAACAAGATGTGAACCATAGGACTCAATGAGTTTGATGGTGGCAATAATTAATACTTAGGACTCTATAATCTAATCAAATTAGATTAAGTACAATCAAGAAATGTCCCATATTTTTCTCCCGTGACTTTGTATAATGCTTTTACGAAGTAGAGCGTTCCTAAGTCTACCCACCCAAGTAATTTTCTTACCCTGTTTTTTGTTTTTTTGGAGTGAGGGCTTATTTGGCCTCCCCAGGACGGACTGGAGCATCAGTAGTGCCTGAGTTCATCAAAGGACAGATGCTCAAGACACCTTGATCACCATTAGGTGGAACTGAAGGAGCCAAAAATGGGCGCAATGGCTCCTCAGCAGATACGCTCCTGAATGTATAGACATGGGAACCACTTTCAGCATCAAAAAAGGAAACGTTCTGCATGCCCATATCCAGAAAAATCCCCACTCGCTGTAACTTGCGGTCTACGAAGAGGAAAGTCAGCGGCACCGTGGTGGCAGAGAGGCGGCCTCCATCCCTCAAACTCACAGTCCAGAATCCAAGCTCTGTGGTCAGCTGGATCCTCCCTTTGCGGTGAACAGATTCTCTGCAGACTCCCAGGTCCCATTCTGTGCTTGTTCCCACGTCCACCTCCCAGCAGTGGCGGCCACAGGTAAAGCGAGGGGAGCCCAGGATGCAAACGGACACGTCAAATCTCTCGGCAAGGTCTTGCCGATTCTGTCTGATGCGCCCACTTCGGACGCTCCTGAGGTCGTCAGAAATGAGGAGGAAGTTGTTGGCTGTGTTGGCATCCAAGGTCATATCCACTGTGAAAAGGAAAAAAAGTTGCTCAGCAAATGGACAGAAACCAACCCTATGCCTCTCTTCTACTTCAAAGGCCCAAATATCTCTTGACTTTAGTTTCTTTAATTCTCTTCTTCCCCCAAAATCCAAACTTCATGAGGTAACTTCCCTGACTAGTTCAAATTCTCATAGGTATGCTTTGTGGCAATACCTGACCCTTATTCACAGTAGCAATTCTTATTTTACTTTATGTCATGTGTTTGCTTCATTGGCCTTTTCTTCGTTTAGAGTGGAGGGTCTTTGAAGGCAGACACCATGCCCCCCTTTCTACCACCTTGATGCATGAACAAATAAATGATAAGACAATGCAAGTGGTCGATATTAAATGATGTTTGTTTCCACATTTTTTTGCTTCAATTTAAATAGTATCTAGAGCATGAGTCCAGGCCTTTGTTTTCCATGTTTGTAAACAAATTAATCGTGTACAGTTCTGACAGAAGATGGAATATCTCTGCAGCTGACGGTGTGATGACAGAGGAAGGAGGCAATGTGATCTGGCCTAGAGAAAATTAATTGTCCAGAACATTCTGAAAAAAAAAAATCTACAGAACATATGATCCTTCAAGTCAAAAAACTGATATGATCACCAATATAGATTTTATAGATTACAGTAAGACTTGAAGAGATTGATTGCTGTTTGATGGTGAATTAGGGAATGAAATGAATGGACATGGATAAGGAAGGAGGAAGAGGGTTCCAAACATGACTTGGGCAGGGTGAATCTGTCCTCCATATTTCAGCAGAGAGACAGTCAGTTTTGGGTAGGTGGAAGAGTAGAGATCGTGGGTGTCAGGGCAGAAGCTACCAGTGTCGGGGACATCATAGGGGCCCACCACCATTTATAGGTGTAATTCTGTGCCCAGGCTGACCATAATCTCTTCATGTAAATGTCCCTTTTCTCCAGAGTTATAGAGATGTATAGTATTTTCTGTAGCCAGGACCACTGTTGAAGCCCATGGCGCATGGATGAGGAGAACACTGTCTGAAACTCTCCCCACACTCACAGAAACAAACACCATAGGTGCTCCATTCCCAACTCTTCCCAACCCTGGGGTAAGGTTGTTTGTACAATGGGTGCCAATATTCACCGTGCATTAGAATTACCAGGCCCATTTTAATGTTAGAGTCCTGGGAACCTTTGCTAGAGAGAAATTCAAATTCAGTTGCTCTATGTTTTTGCTACTCAGCAAAGTCCCCAAGCCAGTGGGATCAATCCTGAGACTTCCCAGTTCAGCATCTGCATTTTAACAAGATCCCCAGGTAATCTGAGCACACTAAGTTTAGAGAATCCCTTGTCTAACCCATGACATAGACATCGGGTTTTTGTTTGTTTTTGTTTTTGACATCACCAGGTGATTCTGTATGTTGTCAGGGCTGAGAATCTGATGATGAAGCATCTCAATTTTAGGTGCCAGACAGCAGCTAATCCCCATGTGGAATGAGGGGCCAACTGCACAAATGATTTTTCCTGGTCTGGTCTTGGGAAGGGGGCAGGGTATACAGATGCCTTACCTTGGAACTTCCGCATCCTTGGGTTCATCTGCAGAATCTTCTTCAGCTTGGGCTCCAGTTCCTTGATGTGGGAAGCCAGCCTCTCTAGCTGCCGATTGCGCCTGATTTTGTTCTTCCGAGAGACCATGGAAGAGCAACAGCAAAGTAGATCCTCCCCATGGGGCTCCTTCTGCAGTGAATTAATGCACTTGAGGCAGACGGCGCATCCACACTCCAGGGACATTGGTTTTTCCAGATAGTCTGAGCAGACGGGACAGCTGCTTGCTTCTTGGAAGAGTGCAGCCATGTCCACTGCCAGGGGAAAAGTACACAAGGTAAAAAAATTTCCATGAGGTGAAAGCCTGTTAGTTGTGACAAGTGACAACCTTTTCATGCATAGAGGTATTGTGTTCCAGCTTTGTCACTCCGAGAATAAGACCATGAGTACAAACACTCAAGCACATCCCCCCACCCCCCGTCTTCAGAGATTTGAAGTTCTATTGGGAAAGTCACGAATCATCACTGTGCTCTGAGCTGAGGTGGAGGAAGCGTCCATTCTCCTGGTGACCCAGCAGCTGAGCCTGAGCCAGTGACATGGCAGCACCCATGTGAGGAACAGCGAGCTGGGGTCATTTCACCTCCTCCTAGGGGAACCCCAGCAAGAGACTGATTGATGAACATAAGAATTAGGGGCTGGGAGGCCGGGCACGATGGCTCATGCCTGTCCAGCACTTTGGGAGGCCAAGGTGGGTGGATCATCTGAGGTCGTCAAAAGTTCGAGACCAGCCTGACCAACATGGGGAAACCCCATCTCTACTGAAAATACAAAAGAATTAGCCAGGCGTGGTGGCACATGCCTGTAATCCCAGATACTTGGGAGGCTGAGGCAGGAGAATCACTTGAACCTGGGAGGCAGAGGTTGCAGTGAGCCGAGATCCTGCCATTGCACTCTGGCCTGGGCAACAGAGTGAGACACCATCTCAAAAAAAAAAAAAAAAAAAAAAAAGAGGGGCTGGATGCAGTAGCTCACATCTGTAATCCCAGCATTTTGCGAGGCCGAGGCAGGAAGATCCCTTGAACCGAGGAGTTTGAGACCAGTCTGGGCAACACAGGAAGACCCTGTCTCTACAAATAATACAAAAATTAGCAGAGAGCAGAGATCACGCCAAGTCACTCCAACCTGGACAACAGAGTTAAGACCCGTCTCACCAAAAAATAAAAAAATAAAAAAATAAAAAAAATTACATCCTTCTCCAGCCTTGGAAGTGAATACCAAATTGACTGCCACCACTCTTACACTCCTAGACTGGGGATCCAGGGTGACTGGTTTCCAACTCTGAGGCAGCACTCAGACGGCCTTTGTTGAATTCATTAATTACGAATTTCTCTCATTCATCCCCCCAAGTCATAACCCCCATTTCTAGGCATCTAAGAGGAAAAACACACACACAGGCATGGGCTCACCTCTTCTGCTGGAAGCTCCTCTGTCCTCCAGCTGCTTCCACTGGGCGCTCAGGTCTTGTGGGGAAGGG